>NT_187423.1:0-3920 GCF_000001405.40 Homo sapiens | reverse complement strand
GTATTATGTACTGTGCATAAAATATCAAAGGACCCCAAAATATATATTATATACTGTACATAAAATATCAAAATACCCAAAATATATATTATATACTCTACATAAAATACCAAAGTACCCAAAGTATATATTATATACCGTACAAAAAATATCAAAGTAGCCAAAATATGTATTATACACTGTACATAATATATGAAAGTACCCAAACATTTATAATAAACTGTACATAAAATATCAATGTACTCAAACTATATATTATGTGCGGTACATAACATATCAAATTACCCATACTATATAGTATATACTGTACTTAAAATATCAAAATATCCAAAATATATATTATATACGTTACATAAACTATCAAATACACAAAGTATGTATTATATACTGTACATAAAATAGCAAAGTTCCCAAAATATGTATTATATACTGTACATAAAATATGAAAGTACCCAACCATTTATAATAAACTCTACATAAAATACCAAAGTACCCAAACTGTGTATTATATACTGTCCATAAAATATCAAAGTACCCAAAATATATATTGTAAACTGTACATAAAATATCAAAGTAGCCAAAATATATATTGTATACTGTACATAAAATATAAAATACCCCAAATATATATTATATACTGTACATAAAATATCAAAGTACCCATAATACATATTATATACTGTACATAAAATATCAAAGGACACAAAATAAATATTATATACTGTACATAAAATATCCAAATACTCAAAATATATATTACATACTGTACATAAAATATCAAAGTACCCAAATTATGTATTATATACTGTACGTAAATTATCAGAGTACCCAAAATATGCATTATATACTGTACATAAAATATGAAATTAACAAAACATTTATAATAAACTGTACATAAAATATCAAAGTACTCAAACTATATATCATATACTGTACATAAAATATCAAAGTACCCAAACTGTGTATTATTATATAGTGTATATAAAATATCACAGTACCTGAAATATATATTGTATACTGTACATAAAATATCAAAGTACCCAAAATATATACTATATACTGTCCATAAAATATGAAGGTACATCAAATATATATTATATCCTGTACATAAAATATCAAACTACACCTATTAGATATTGTGTACTGTACATAATATATTAAATCCCCCAAATATATATTGTATACTGTATATAAAATATGAAGGTACTTCAAATTCATATTACATGCTGCACATAAAATATCAAACTACCCAAGGTATGCATTATATACTGTACATAAAATATCAAAGTACCCAAAGTGTATATTATATACTGTACATAAAATATGAAGTTTCATCAAATATATTTTATATTCGGCACATAAAATATCAAAGTACATCAAATATATATTATATACTGTACATAAAATATCAAAGTACCAAAAATATGTATTATATACTGTACATAAAATATGAAAGTAACCATTTATAATAAACTGTACATAAAATATCAAAGTACTCAAACTACATATTATATACAGTATATAAAATGTCAAAGTACCCAAACTGTATATTATATACTGTACATAATATATCAAAGTACCCGAATATATAGCATACTGTACATAAAATATCAAAGTACCCAAAATATATATTGTATACTGTACATAAAATATGAAGGTACATGAAAGATATATTATATTCTGTACATAAAATCTCAAAGTACACCAAATATATATTATATGCTGTACATAATATATTAAAGTTGCCCAAATATATATTATATACTGTACATAAAATATGAAGGTACATCAAATATATATTATATGCTGCACATAAAATATCAAAGTACCCAAAGTATGTATTATATACTGTACATAAAATATCAAAGTACCCAAATTATATATTATATACTGTACATAAAATATAAAATACCCCAAATATATATTATATACTGTACATAAAATATCAAAGTACACAAAATATGTATTATATACTGTACATAAAATACCAAAGGACCCAAAGTATATATTATATACCGTACAAAAAATATCAAAATACCCAAAATATATATCATATACTGTACATAAAATATGAAAGTAACAAATTATTTATAATAAACTCTACATAAAATATCAATGTACTCAAACTATATATTATGTGCGGTACACAAGATATCAAAGTACCCATACTATATAGTATATACTGTACTTAAAATATCAAAATACCCAGAATATATATTATATACGTTAAATAAACTATCAAATACCCAAAGTATGTATTATATACTGTACATAAAACAGCAAAGTTCCCAAAATATATATTATATACTGTACATAAAATATGAAGGAAAATCAAACATATATTATATTCTGTACATAAAATATAAAACTACCCCAAATATATATTATATACTGTACATGAAATATAAAACTACCCCAAATATATATTATATACTGTACATAAAATATCAAAGTACCCAAAATATATATTATATACTGTACATAAAATATCAAAGTACACAAACTTTATATTATAGAGTGTACATAAAATATCAAAGTAACAAAAATATATATTGTATACTGTAAATAAAATATCAATATACCCAAAATATATATTATGTACTGTACATAAAATATCAAAGTACCCAAAATACGTATTATATACTGTACATAAAATATGAAAGTACATCAAATATATATTATATTCTGTATATAAAATATCAAATTACACCAAATATATTTTATAAATTGTACATGAAATATGAAGGTACATCAAATATATATTATATGCTGCACATAAAATATCAAAGTACTCAAAGTATGTATTATATATTGTACATAAAATATCAAAGTACTCAAAGTACATATTATATAGTGTACATGAAATATGAAGTTACATCAAATATATATTGTATTCTGTACATAAAATATCAAAGTACACTAAATATATATTATATACTGTACTTAAAATATAAAATACCCCAAATATACATTATATACTGTACATAAAATATCAAAGTACCCAAAATATATATTATATACTGAACATAAAATATCAAAGGACCCAAAATATATATTATACACTGTATATAAAATACCATAATAACCAAAATATGTGTCATATACTGTACATAAAATATGAAAGTACCCAAACATTTATAATCAACTGTACATAAAATATCAAAGTACTAAAACTATATATTATGTGCTGTATATAAAATATCAAAGTACCCATACTATATATTATATACTGAACAAAAAATATCAAAATATATATTATATGAATTCCCTGCTTCCAACTAAATCCTCACAGCAATCCAAATATCCACTTGCAGATTCCACAAAAAGAGGGTTTCAAATCTGCTCTATCAATAGCAAGGTTCAACTCTGTTAGTATAGGACACATATCACCAACAAGTTTCTGAGAATGCTTCTGTCTACTTTCTATGGGAGGATATTTCCTTTTTCACTGTAGGCGACACAGCGATCAAATTGTCCATTCCATATACTACAAAAAGTGTGTTTCAAACCTGCTTTATGAAAGGTAATATTCATCTCTATGTGTTGAATGGAAATATCAGAAAGAAATTGCTGAGAATTCTGCTGTCTACATTTTATATGAATTCCCGCTTCCAACGAAATCCTCAAAGCAATCCAAATATCCACTTGCAGATTCCACAAAAAGAGTGTTTCAAAACTGCTCTATCAATAGAAAGGTTCAACTCTTTTAGTTGAGAACACACATCACAAACAAGTTTCTGAGAATGCTTCTCTCTCGCTTTTATGGGAAGACGTTTCCTTTCCACCAAAGGCATCAAAGTGTTCCAAATGTCCACTTCCAGATTCTACCAAAAGAGTGTTTCAAACGTGCTCATAGTAAGGGGATGTTCAACTCTGTGACTTGAATGCAGATATCACCAAGTAGTTTCTAATAGTGCTTC
>NT_187422.1:0-1774 GCF_000001405.40 Homo sapiens | reverse complement strand
AATATCTTCCCATAAAAACTAGACAGAAGGATTCTCAGAAACAAGTTTGTGATGTGTGTACTCAGCTAACAGAGTGGATCCTTTCTTTTTACAGAGCAGCTTTGAAACTCTATTTCTGTGGATTCTGCAAATTGATATTTGGGTTGATTTAACGACATCGTTGGAAAAGGGAATATCTTCATACAAAATCTAGACAGAAGCTTTCTCAGAAACTTCTTTGTGATGTGTGTCCTCAACTAACAGAGCTGAACCTTTCTTTTGATGCAGCAGTTTGGAAACACTCTTTTTGTAGAAACTGTAAGTGGATATTTGGTTAGGTCTAACGATATCATTGGAAACGGGAATATCTTCATCTAAAGTATACACAGAAGCAGTCTCAGAAACTACTTTGTGATATCTGCATTCCAGTCACAGAGTTGAAAACTCCCTTACTTAGAGCAGGTTTGAAACACTCTTTTTGTAGAATCTGAAAGTGGACATTTGGAGCGCTTTGATGCCTTTGGTGAAAAAGGAAATGTCTTCCCTTAAAAAGTAGACAGAAGCTTTCTCAGAAACTTGTATGTGATGTGTGTACTCAACTAAAAGAGTTGAACCTTTCTATTGATAGAGCAGTTTTGAAACACTCTTTTTGTGGAATCTGCAAGTGGATATTTGGATTGCTTTGAGGATTTCGTTGGCAGCGGGAATTCATAAAAATGTAGCAGCATTCTCAGAAATTTCTTTCTGATATTTCCATTCAGCACATAGAGATGAACATTCCCATTCATAGAGCAGGTTTGAAACACACTTTTTGTATTGTATGGATGAAGACATTTCGATCGCTTTGACGCCTACGGTGAAAAAGGAAATGTCCTACCTTAAAAAAAATGAAGAATTCTCAGAAACTTGTTTGTGATGTGTATCCTCAACTGACAGAGTTGAACCTTGCCATTGATAGAGCAGTTTAGAAACACTCTTTTTGTGGAATCTGCAAGTGGATATTTGGATAGCCTGGAGGATTTCGTTGGAATCGGGAATTCAAATGAAAGGTAGACAGCAGCATTCTCAGAAATTTCTTTGTGATGTTTGCATTCAACTCATAGAGTTGAACATTCCCTTTCATAGAGCAGGTTTGAAACACTCTTTCTTTACTATCTGGAGGTGGACATTTGGAACGCTTTGATGCCTACGGTGAAAAAGTAAATATCTTCCCATAAAACCTAGACAGAAGGATTCTCAGAAAGAAGTTTGTGATGTGTGTACTCAGCTAACAGAGTGGAACCTCTCTTTTGATGCAGCAGTTTGGAAACACTCTTTTTGTAGAAACTGTAACTGGATATTTGGATAGCTCTAATGATTTCGTTGGAAACGGGAATATCATCATGTAAAATCTAGACAGAAGCACTCTCAGAAACTACTTTGTGATATCTGCATTCAAGTCACAGAGTTGAACATTCGCTTTCTTAGAGCACTTTTTAAACACTCTTTTTGTAGTATCTGGAAGTGGACATTTGGAGCTCTTTGATGCCTTTGGTGAAATAGGAAATGTCTTCCCATAAAAACTAGACAGAAGCTTTCTCAGAAACTTGTTTGTGATGTGTGTACCCAGCGAAAGGAGTTGAACATTTCTATTGATAGAGCAGTTTTGAAACACTCTTTTTGTGGAATCTGCAAGTGGATATTTGGATAGCTTGGAGGTTTTCGTTGGAAGCGGGAATTCAAATAAAAGGTAGACAGCAGCATTCTCAGAATTTCTTTGTGATGTTTGCATTCAACTCATAGAGTTGAACATTCC
>NT_187421.1:0-1233 GCF_000001405.40 Homo sapiens | reverse complement strand
AAGTGTATATTATATACTGTACATAAAATATGAAGGTACATCCGATACATATTATATTCTGTACGTAAAATATCAAAGTACACCAAGTATATATTATATACTGTACATAAAATATTAAATTACCCAAAATATGTATTGTATACTGTACATAAAATATGAAAGTAACCAAACATTTATAATAAACTGTACATAAAATATCAAAGTACTCAAACTGTATATTATATACTGTACATAAAGCATCAAAGTACCCAAACTGTGTAGCATATACTGTACATAAAATATCAAGGTACCCAAAATATATAGTGTAAACTGTAGATAAAATATCAAAGTACCCAAAGTATACATTATATACTCTACATAAAATATCAAAATACGCAAAATATATATTGTATACTGTACATAAAATATCAAAGTATCCAAACTATATATTATGTACTGTACATAAAATATCAAAGTACCCAAAGTGTGTATTATACACTGCATATAAAATATGAAGGTACATAAAATATATATTGTATTCTGTACATAAAATATCAAATTACACCAAATATATATTATATAGTGTACATAATATATTAAAGTCTACCAAATATATATTATATACTGTACATAAAATATGAAGGTACATCAAATATATATTATACGCTGCACATAAAATATCAAAGTACCCAAAGTATGTATTATATACTGTACATAAAATATCAAAGTACCCAAAGTATATATTATATACTGTACATAAAATATAAAATACCCCAAATATATATTATATGCTGTACATAAAATATCAAAGTACACAAAATATGTATTATGTACTGTACATACAATATCAAAGGACCCAAAATATATATTATATACTGTACATAAAATATCAAAATATCCAAAATATATATTATATACTGTACATAAAATACCAAAGTACCCAAAGTATATACTATATACCGTACAAAAAATATCAAAGTAGCCAAAATATGTATTATACACTGTACATAATATATGAAAGTACCCAAACATTTATAATAAACTGTACATAAAATATCAATGTACTCAAACTATATATTATGTGCGGTACATAACATATCAAATTACCCATACTATATAGTATATACTGTACTTAAAATATCAAAATATCCAAAATATATATTATATACGTTACATAAACTATCAAATACACAAAGTATGTATTATATACTGTACATAAAATAGCAAAGTTCCCAAAATATGTATTATATACTG
>NT_187420.1:390774-392061 GCF_000001405.40 Homo sapiens | reverse complement strand
GGTGTGCGTGTGTGCACCTGGTCTGTGTGCAGTGTATGTGTGTGTGGTGGGGTGTGTGCGTGTGCACATGGTGTGTGGTGTGTGTGATGTGTGGGGGTATGTGTGCATGTATACATGGTGTGTGTGCAGTGTGTGATGTCTGTGTCGGGTGTGTGTGCATGTGTACATGGTATGTGTGCAGTATGTGTGGTGTGTGGGGGTGTGTGTGCATGTATGCATGGTGTGCTGTGTGCAGTGTGTGTGGTGTCTGTGGTGTATGTGTGGGGCATGTGTGCTTGTGTACATGGTGTGTGTGGTGTGTGCATGTACACGGTGTGGCATGTGCAGTGTGGTGGGGTGTGTGTGCAGTGTGTGGTGTCTGTGTGTGGGGTGTGTGTGCACATGGTGTGTGTGCAGTGTGTGTTGTCTGGGGTGTATGCGTGTGCACATAGTGTGTGTGTGCAGTGTGTATGCGTGCACATGGTGTGTGTGTGCAGTGTGTGTGTGGTGTGTTTGTGCACATGGTGTGTGTGCAGTGTGTGTGTGGTGTGTGCACATGGTGTGTGTGCAGTGTGTGGTGTCTGTGTGATGTGTGTGCATGTGCTCATGAGGTATGTGCAGTGTGTATGGTGTCTGGGTTGTGTGTGTGCATATGGTGTGGTGTGTGCAGTGGGTGTGGTGTCTGGGGTGTGTGTGGAGTGTCTGTGTGTGGGGTGTGTATGTGTGTGTGTGGGGAAAAGAAAGAGATCAGACTGTTACTGTGTCTATGTAGAAAGAAGTAGACATAAGAGACTCCATTTTGTTCTGTACTAAGAAAAATTCTTCTGCCTTGAGAGGCTGTTAATCTGTAACCGTACCCCCAACCCTGTGCTCCCTGAGACATGTGCTGTGTCAAGTCAAGGTTAAATGGATTAAGGGCTGTGCAGGATGTGCTTTGTTAAACAAATGCTTGAAGGCAGCATGCTTGTTAAGAGTCATCACCACTCCCTACTCTCAAGTACCCAGGGACACAAAACACTGCAGAAGGCCACAGGGACCTCTGCCTAGGAAAGCCAGGTATTGTCTAAGGTTTCTCCCCATGTGATAGTCTGAAATATGGTCTCATGGGAAGGGAAAGACCTGACAGTCCCCCAGCCTGACACCGATAAATGTTCTGTGCTGGGGAGGATTAGTAAAAAGGAAGACCTCTTTGCAGTTGAGATAAGAGGAAAGCATCGGTCTCCTGCTTGTCCCTGGGCAATGGAATGTCTCAGTGTAAAGCCCAGTTGTATATTCCATCTACTGAGATAGGGGAAAACTGCCTTTAGG
>NT_187420.1:384844-390730 GCF_000001405.40 Homo sapiens | reverse complement strand
CAATACTGCTCTTTAAGGCATTGAGATGTTTATGTATATGAACATCAAAAGCACAGCACTTTTTTCTTTACCTTGTTTATGATGCAGAGACATTTGTTCATATGTTTTCCTGCTTACCTTCTCTCCACTATTACCCTATTGTCCTGCCACATCCCCCTCTCTGAGAAACGCCTGATAATAATCAATAAATACTAAGGGAACTGAGAGACTGGTGCCGGCCTTGGTCCTCCGTATGCTGAGCACCGTTCCCCTGGGCCCACTTTTCTTTCTCTATACTTTGTCTCTGTGTCTCTTTTCTCAAGTCTCTTGTTCCACCCGATGAGAAACGCCCACAAGTGTGGAGGGGCAAGCCACCCCTTCACGTGTGCACATGGTGTGTGTGCTGTTTGTGTGGTGTCTGTGTGTGGGGTGTGTGTGCATGTGCACATGGTGTGGTGTGTGCAGTGTGTGTTATGAGTGACTGCTTCTCTTAGCATGTGGACATCAGTCTTCCAGACCAGCTTTCTCCATGTGTCTGGGAACATAAGAAACAAGTTTCTGCAATAATTGTTACACAGCTTTTCCAGAGAGGTACCAAATCTCTGTCGTGAGTGGATATCTGCATCATTGCAGGAGGGAATGTGATGTCCTGGTTTGGCTCACACCCTCTGAGGGCTTAGGCAGGGTTCCTGCTGGATCCCTCACTGTGGCCAGAGACGGAGGGCTCTGTTTCACCATAGGGCACCAGAAGAGGACTGGGGCGTGGGAAGACCAGGTAATCATAATGGTATTAATAATGGTGGTAATAATACTGCTTTATACATTGTATATGTCATAAGGATTTTAACTTTCATCTAACATAATTGTTGTAAAAATGTCCCCAGTTTGTTTTGTGCTATTTACTTGCTGTTGAAATGTGTAAGAATTTACGTTTTAGGTACGTTAGGTTTATTCCTTTTTATATAGTTTCTGTTCACAATTTTGATTTTAGAAGACATTCATTCATTCTCAAGGTCATAAAACACAAGTACATCTAATTTTCTTTTCTTTTCTCTCTCTTTTTTTTTTTTACATTTAATACTGGAATTAACTTTTATGTAAGGTGTGGGACCAGGATTCAATTCTATCATTTTATATTCTCAAATCATTACCCAATATTTTAACATCATAAATGGAAAAATGGCTCTGTTTTGTGGGTTTAAAATATTACCCTGTTACTAGATAAAATTACACTCAATTTCTGTGTTTTTTATTCTCTTTCATTAATGTGTTTATTTTTGTGCCATTTCAAATTTGTTTAATTTTGAATAGTAATAACAATCTTAAATATCTTATAGTAAATTTTATAAAATTGGCTCTCGTGTGTGTTCAATTGTGGATTTAAAATCACATTTTCTTGTTCGAAAACATTTTTCTTGGAATTTTTATTGGAATTTGAGCATATTTTTAAATAATTTACAGCAAACTAAAGAGTTAATATTATTGAGTCCTCTCATCCAGAATGTGACATGCAAATTCCTCAAACCTCCTTTAATGCCATTTAGTCAAAATTAATATGTTAAATCAATATAAATTAGTATAAATGAGTATAACTAATGATTAAAATAATGAATGTGTTTGGCTCCACGTTTCTGTTTTCTGCCTTCTATCACTGATGATTTTTATTCCTATCCTTGTTGTTTTCTACAGTTTCTTTTATTATGTCTTTTTCTGTCTTGTGATGTGAAAACTATATGATACATTGTAATGTTTTAATTTTTCTAATTTTTTGCTCTTAATTTTAACTAATTTTATATTTTAGAGAAGTGCGGGTTCACAGCTAAACGGAGCAGAGAGTACAGACTTCTCATATGTCCCTTTCCCCACACACAGCCTCCCCACTACAGCTTCCTGCCTCACAGGAGCACACCTGTGACAACCAGGAACCTACCTTGACCCTTCATTATCACTCAAAGCTTACAGTGCACATTCATACTTATTTACTCTTCACATTGTACTTTCTGAGTCATGACAAAAGTATAATGGCAATGGGATATTATTCACCGCTAACAGGAGATGATCTACCAAGCCACAAGAAAATACATGGAGGAAACTTAAATGCATATTGCTAAAAGAAGAAGCCAATCCGAAAAGTCTACGTACTGTTCGATTCAAATTATATGACGTTCTGGAAACGGTGAAACTATGGGAACAGTAGAAAGATCAGTGGTTGCCATGGACCAAGGGGAAGGAAGAGATGGATGCACAGAGCACAGAGAATCTTCACGGCAGTAAAACCATTCTGTATGATACTGTAATGGTAGATATATACATTTGTAAAAATCTATCTTAACTTTTAATCTTTTAAATTACGTTTGTTCTTTTTTTTGATGGAATCTTGCTCTGTCGCAAGGTGGGAGTGCAGTGGCACGATCTCGGCTTACTGCAACCTCCGCCTCCCGGGTTCAAGAGATTCTCCTGCCTCAGCCTCCCAAGTAGCAGGGACTACAGGTGCCCGCCACTGAGCCCGGCTAATTTTTGTATTTTTAGTAGAGACTGGGTTCACCATCTTGGCCAGGCTGGTCTCGAACTCCTGACCTTGTGATCCACCTGCCTTGGCCTCCCAAAGTGCTGGGATTACAGGCGTCAGACACCACGCCTGGCCGTTTTTGTTTTAAGAACTGCAGACAAGCTGGGTGCAGTGGCTCAAGCCTGTAATGGCTGCACTTTTGGAGGCTGAAGTGGCTGGATTGCTTCAGCCCCGGAGTTCAAGACCAGCTGGGCAAAATAGTGAGATCCCGTCTCTACAAAAAAAGTATTAAAAAAAATAGCCAGGCATAGTGCTGCATGCCTGTAGACCCAGCCAGGAGGCTATGATAGAAAAATCACTTGACCCAGCAGTTTGAGGCTGCAGTGAGCTATCATCATGCCACTGCACTCTGTCCTGGGTGACAGAGCGAAACCCCATCTCAAAACAAAGAACAACCAAAAACCTACAAGCATACTCAGAGATATTGTGGGTTTGGTTCCAGACAACTGCAATAAGGCAAATGTTACAACCAAAAACCTACAAGCACACCTCAGAGATATTGTGGGTTTAGTTCCAGACCACTGCAATAAGGCAAATGTTACAATCAAGTTAGTTGCATAAACATTTTGTTTCCCAGTGCTTATTAAAGTTATGCTTAAACTATATTGTAGTCTAATGAGTATTTAATTATTAATTAGTAATTAATAGCATGTCTGAAAAACTGTGTACATACCTTAAGTTAAAATACATCAGTGCTAAAAAATGCTAATGAATATCTGAGCCTCACCAAGTCATAATCTTTTTGCTGGTGAGGGTCTTGCCTCTATATTGATGACTGCTGGCTAATCAGTGTGGGGGCTGCTGAAGGTTGGGTGCCTGTTTCAATTTCTTCAAAAAATGAAGTCTGTTCCTTTCACAAAAGATTTCCCTGTAGCATGTGATGCTGTTTGACAGCATTTTATCAAGAGTAGAACTTTTTTCAAAATTGGAGTAAACCCTCTCAAATCCTGCTGCTGCTTTATCAACTAGGTTTATGGAATATTCTAAATCCTTAGTTGTCATTTCAACAATATTTGTAGCATCTCCACCTGGATTAGATTCCATCTCAAGAAAATATTTTCTTTGCTCGTCCATAAGAAGCAACTCCCTATTTGTTCAAGTTTCATCATGAGTTTACAGCAATTTCATCTCACCTTAAGGCCCTAATATTAATTCTAGTTGTCTTGCGATTTCTACCACATCTGCAGGGACTTCCTCCACTGACATCCTGAGCCCTCAAAGTCATCCATGAGGGCTGGAATCAACTTCTTCCAAACTCCTGTTAATGTTAATATTTCAACCTCCTCCCATCAATCACAAATGTCCTTAATGGCATTTAAGGATTGCTAGTAAAGACATTTGTGATTCACGGGAGGAGGTTCAAATATCATGAAAGGATTAATGGTGAATCCTTTCCAAAAGGTTTTCAATTCAGTTTATCCAGATTCATCAAAGAAATCACTATCTATGATAGCCATACCTTTACAAAATGCATTTATTAATAAAAACACTTGAAAGTCAAAACCACTCCTTGATCCACAGGCTGAAGGTAAATATTGTATTAGCAGCCATGAAAATAACATTAATTTCCAAGTACATCTCCATCTAAGCTTCTGGGTAGCTAGGTGAATTGTCAATAAGCAGCAATCTTTTTTTCCTTTTTCCTTTTATTTTATTTTATTTTATTTTATTATTATTATTTTTTTTGACATAGTTTCGCTCTTGTTCCCCAGGCTGGAGTGCAGTGGTGTGGTCTCGGCTCACTGCAACCTCCGCCTCCAGGGTTCAAGCCATTCTTCTGCCTCAGCCTCCCGAGTAGCTGAAATTACAGGTATTACCACCATGCCCGGCTAATTTTTTTGTATTTTTATTAGAGATGGGGTTTCATCATTTTGGCCAGGCTGGTCTTGAACTCCTGACCTCAGGTGATCCTCGGCCTCCCAAAGTGCAGGGATTACAGGTGTGAGCCACTATGTCTGGCCAAGCAACAATCTTTTTAAAGGAATCACTTTTTTTTCTGAGCAGTAGGTCTCAATATTGGGATTAAAATATTCAGTAAACCATGCCATTAACAGATGTGCTGTCACCCAGACAGGGATGTTCCATTTCTAGAGCACAGAAAGAATAGATTTTGCATAATTCTTAAGGGCCCTGAGATTTTCAGAGTTGTCAATGAGCACTGGCTGTAACTTAAAGTCACCAGCTGCAGTGGTCCTCAAAGAGAGTCAGCCCATCCTTTGAAGTTTTGAAGCCAAGCATTGACTTCTCTCTAGCTATGAAAATTCTACATCTTCACTAAGCTTAATCATTTCTAGCTCTGGACTTCAAGTGAGAGACATGCAAGTCTTCCTTTCATTTGAGTTCTTTGAGGCCACTGTGGTTACTAATTGGCACCCCCGGTGGGTGTCACCCTCCTCCCTCCTCTATCGAGTTCACCCACAACAGGGCGTGGGGAATGGCGCTTCCGACACCGCACATGCCCTGCGCGCCTGGGGCTCTCCCAGTGGGGGCTTTCGTGAGCCAGGCAGCAAGGGCCATCCCCCTGCTCCAGCCCAGCCAGGCTGCGCAGGCAGAAGGACTCTCCCAACATGCCCAGGCATGTGGGGCTTTGTGTTCCCTGCCCTGGCTCCTCTGGAACTGGGGCTCTCCCATCCTCAGACTCCCTGGTGGCCTCTGCACCCCAACAAATCACAGGAAGACCAGAAACCGCTGCGCGAGGGCCTGCTGGGTGCGTGCTCATTTTGGGCCCCCTCAAGCTGAGTCACAGGGGCAAGGTGTGCTTGTGCCACCCACGTCCCACCGGAATCCGTGGTGGGGCTGGAGCCCCAGGTCGCCAGGGCGGCATGGGAACCCGAAGACGGGGCACCTCCACCTGCAGAGATCGCGACCCCGGAGGCCTCCGCGTCAAGAACAGATGCCAGCCATCCAGGCGCCTCTCAACAGCTCCAGGAGCCGGGGAGCTCATCTGCACTCACCTCCAGCCTGTTAGATGAGCTCCTGTCAACCCCAGAGTTTCAGCAAAAGGCACAACATTTCCTAGATCCGGCGCCACTGTGGGAGCTGAAGGACGTGGAAGAGCCCGCTTTGCTGGAACCACTCCTCAGCCAGGGCGACCACTGGGCTCTGCTGGAGGAGCAGGTTGGGGCGGGGTTGGGGCGGGTTGGGGGCAGAGCGGCGGCCTCTCTTTCGCGGTGAACCTCAGGCTTGGTATGGAGAGGCGTGTCTTCCCTTCCAGCTGACCTGCCTAGGATCCCTGAGTTCCAGGTCCAGAGAGAGTCTCCACACAGAGGAGGGCTGTCAAGAATGACAAGAAAGAATTCCTGAGCATCCTGGGGATCCCAGGGCCGGTCCAGGTACCC
>NT_187420.1:374828-384824 GCF_000001405.40 Homo sapiens | reverse complement strand
GGGTTGGCGGAGACCTCAGTCCGCGAAACACTGGGCCGGGGCAGAAGCCAGGCCAGTTCTTTCTGCGGCTCGACTCCTCTGCCTCTTCGCTCTCCATCACTAGCCAACCTTTGTCCCGCCAGCCTCCTTGCCAGCACCATGGAATGCCTTGCAACTAAATGTAGACCCGAGACCACATGCAAACCGAGGTGCTGCCCTTTCCAGGCAAGAGGGAAGGCAGGCAGAGATGAGGACAGGAATGGAGACAGAGTGAGATGGAAGGATGGAGCTAGGAAAGGATGGGTGGAAGGAGGGACCCCGGAAGGGAGAGAAAGATGGAGGGAGGGAGAAAGGGGGAAAAAACTGGGGTAGGGAAGGAAGAACAGAGGGAAGGATGGACCGAGGGACAAAAGGAGCAAGAAACAGAGAACGAAGGCAGAGAGAAAAACGGCCTTCTGCCTCCAGAACCAACAGGACCTAGCACTCCGGGAAAATGTTGGGTGCCCAGTGCGGGCTAAGTGCTGGGCCCACAGCCCCGTTGGCCGGCGGGGCGCTCAGCGGCCCTCTGGATCGCCAGCCTGGGTTACTTCATCCCGGAGCAATTCAGACCAATTCCGTTTCCGAAGGAATGAGCGAATTCCCCAGAGGGCAATGAGCTGACACTCAGGTGGTTGTGTGTTTTTCATCCACGTGGTTCACAGATGACATATCCCCACGTTGAGCCCTGCAACAGAGCGCGAGGCGGAAAGTCCCATCCACACAGGGGTCACACTTAGGCCAACTGAAGCGTGATTCTGGATTCCACGTTTCTTTGCCCTCTGCAAAGGTTCCTGTTGCTCAAGTTACTGCCCCCTGAAAGCGTGACCATGTTGACTGTTTGTTTCCCGTGCTCTGTGGGGTCCCAGAAACTTCCAGGAATGCGTGGAAGACCAGCATTGTGTCAGTGCTCTCCTTTCCAGTTTTCAAACAGGCTATATTGGAGACTCCCCATTTTGCAGGAAACAGGAATCCATCGTCAGGCCGTGATGCATGGGATGTTTCTTTTCTCTGTGGTTTCGCTCTCGTTGTCTACGTGAAAATGAACGAGATCCACACATCTGCGTGTATGAGAATATCACAGCAACTGTGACACCCACGCGCTGGCAATAGAGTTCGCATCCTGATCCCGGGACTAAGGTACTGATGAACATCCAGACTCACCCACCACAATCATTAGCAAACCCACTCCCAAACACACAGACACACATGGGTGCACATGCGGGAACACAAGCACACACACAGACACAGAAAGACACAGACAGCTTGAAGGAGAGCAAGGTACAGAGGGATGGAGAGATAGAAACGGAAGGAGAGAGAAACAGCGATCGAGAGAGAGACACAGAGGAACCGGGGAGATTGAGAGAGAGAGCAAGGTGGAGAGGGAAGTAGAGAAAGGGAAAGGGTGAGGGAGCTAGAGAGGGAGAGCAACAGAGCCTTGGAGAGGGAGGCTCTATCTGGTAGACAGGGGCCCCTTTGGCCAGGGTAGGGTGGAGGGTGTCTGGGACGGGCCGGAACAGGGGGGGCAGGGCCGCCCACGCGGGAAAACCAACAGAGCCCTGAGGCGTGTTTTTACTTGGATTGGTTGGTTGCTTTGGGGGTGCGTTTCGTAGCCTCATTCCTTTGTTGGCTCCTCCCTGTCCTCTTGGTGCTGTGGGCCCTGAAAGTTGTAGAGTGCGCCCCTCACTGTGGCAGGAGCAGTGGCGCTGAGCGTGCCCAGGGGTCGCGGCTTGGGTCTCTCTCGTTTTCCGGGTGGTGTGGCCTTAGACAATGGCAGTGGCGCCTGGCTGGCCCAAGAGTCCAGTCCAGCTACACCCGCCTGATTCCAGGCGTCACCAGCAACCCGGGGCCACAAGGCTGGGATGAGGCACCCCAGAGCCACTTGCCTCTGGCCGGGCTGCTCTCCCCCTCTACGCCCAAGCACCACCAGTCACCGCGCTGCGCTTTCCGCCGACCTCCCAGAGCGTCCCGCTGTCGCCGGCGGCCAGACCACGTTCGAGACCGCCTAGGCGCCAGAGGCCTCCCTCCCCTGCCAGGGCTCTGGACTCTCCAGGTGACCACCCTCTCGCTGACACTCCAGGCCTTCCCCAGGCTCTCGAGCTCCAGAGCTTCCAACACCTGGGGCCCGCTCAGGAAGGGGTGTGCTCCGAGGCGTCAGGGCCCAGGGCCCACTGTCCTGGGGTCCCCTCCGGTCCTCCGCTTTGCCGCGGAAAAAATATTTTGGATTCCTTGCTGCCCCTCCTGCAAGGCCCCCTGTTGCCCCACACACCCAGAGCCGCCAGGGCTGACCGGGGTGAACAGCCGGCCCAGCCCCGCGGGCCATTTTTCTTACAACGCCTACACAATCGTCGCTTGTTCCGACAAGGACCCGCCGTGGCCAACGGGGCAGGAAGGCTCTGCTTTGCCCCGCGCCAGCACTAGAGCCCCGGCAGCCTCATCCCGGGAAAGAGGGGCTGACGGACACCCAGACACACCCCACCACTACCACAAGCAAACCCACCCTGACACACACACGGATACACACGGGTGCACGCGCGCAGACACTCACACACACGGACACAGACACACCACTCCCGGGCACACACACATGGACACACAAAGACACAGACACAGATAACTTGAAGGGACACCACCCCTCATATTGTTTTATGCCCAATTTCTGCCTCCAAAGAAAGAAGAAGCAAAATCTAAAAAGGCAGAAATGAAATCCACAGGCAGACAGACCTGCGCCATACCCTGGGCCTGGTAGTTAAAGATCGACCCCTGACCTACTCGGTTATGTTATCTATAGATTACAGACATTGTATAGAAAAGCACTGTGAAAATCCCTGTCCCGTTTTGTTCTGATCTAATTACCGGTGCATGCAGCCCCCAGTCACGTACCCTCTGCTTCCTCAATCCATCACTACCCTCTCACGCGGACCCCCTTAGAGTTGTAAGCCCTTAAGAGGGACAGGAATTACTCATTCAGAGAGCTAGGTTTTTGGAGACGTGAGTCTGCCAATGCTCCCAGCTGAATAAAACCCCTCCTTCTACAACTCGGTGTCTGAGGGGTTTTGTCTGCAGCTCCTCCTGCTACAGAAGGAGAGCAAGGGAGAGAGCGATGGAGAAATAGAACCAGGAGAGAGAGAGACAGTGATAGAGAGAGAGAGACAGAGAAGGGGGAGGCGAGACAGAGGGGGTTAGAGAGAGCGCCACAGTAGAGTGCGAGGTGGAGGGGGAAGTAGAGAAAGGGAGAGGGTGAGGGAGTGCTAGAGTGACAGCAACAGAGCCTTGGAGAGGGAGGCTCTGCTCAGGTAGACAGGGCACCTTTCGGCAGGCAGGGGTGGGGTAGAGGGTGTTTGGGCCGGGCTAGAAGAGGGGGTCAGGGCCCCCTACGCGGGAAAACCAACGGAGCCCTAAGACGTGTTTTATTTTCTTGAATTGGTTGGTTGCTTTGTGGGTGCGTTTCATAAGGTCCTTCCTTTGTTTGCTTCTTTCTGTCTCCTTGTTGCGGTGGGCCCTGAGATTTGTAGAGTGTGCTCCTTTGTCTGGAGGGAGCCGTGGTGCCGAGCTTGTCCATGGGGGGAGGCCTGGGTCTCTCTCCTGTCCTCAGGACTGGAGTTCACACGAAGTCGGTGGCATTGGGAAACCGGGTGCACAGGGACGGATTTCCTCGTGGCTGGCGAAGACAATGTCCTTCCCCTGGGGAAAGCAGCCCACGGGTTCTGGAGCGGAGGTCTTGCCTGGGGTCTGTGGGACCCGCTGCCCCTACCCGCCCCTTCCCCCGGCTTGGACGGTTGCAGTGTCGCTGGATGAATGAATAGAATTGCCTGGGAGTCCGGGGAGCGTGAAGACACCCGGGACCTCAGGGAACCCGCGCCTGCGCCCTCGGGGTCGGTCCCATCCTGCCCGGGTTGGAGCCGGGCTCCTGGTGGGGCTGCCGCGAGTCGGAAGAGGTGGGATGCTGCTGCCTGGCGGTGCTGCAGTGGCGGATCTTCAGGAGGAGGTCCTGGGCTTCCGCTGGGGCGCGGGGGCGGTCAAGGGGGCGTTTGGGAAGGACCGAGACAAAAGGGGGAAAGAGGGAGAGAGCGGGAAGCCAAAAGCCTACGGTACCGGCTATTACCAGGCGGAGTCCCATCCAAGTACTAACCAGGACCGACCCTGCTTAGCTTCAACAGATCAGAGGCGAGCAGGCGCCTTCAGGGTGGTGTGGCCTAGACGCCAGCAGCGGTGCCTGGCTGCCCCAAGACCCCGGCCCAGCAACGTCCGCACGACTCCAGGCATCACCGCCACCCCGGGGCCGCGGGTCTCGGATCCGGGACCCCCAGAGGCGCTCGCCGGTGCCCCCAGGCAGCTGTCTCCCTCTACACCCGAGCACCGCCGGCCTCCCAGAGCGTCCCGCCGTCACCGGCGGCCAGACCTGGCGCAGGACCAATGTGGTGCCGCCCTGCTGTTGCTGGGGGGCGCCGGAGGCCTCCGTCCCCTGCCCAGGCTTCCGGCTCTCGGGGCGGCCTCCTTTCAGCCCACGCTCCAGTCCTTCCGCGAGCTCCCGAGCTCCGGAGCTTCCACCACATCTGCCGGCTCAGGACGGGTCGTGCTCATCCCTTAACTTTGTAACTTTTTGTTGTTTCTATTTATATTTTATTGTGCTATGTCTTGAAATGTTGTTGTAGTTATTACTTTTGATTGGGTATTAGTGTTCCTACTTTGAATAAGAGTAGTTTGCACACCACACAGCTATAGTGTTATAATATTCTGTTTTGTTTTGTACCCTATTAGCAGTGAGGATTTTTTTTTTAACCTTTAGGTGATCATTCATTGCTCGTTAATGTCCTTTTCTTCCTGATTGAAGTACTCCCTTTAGCATTCCTTTAGGACAGGTATGGTATTCATAAAATACTTCAGCTTTTTTTTGTCGGAAAAAGTCAGTATTTCTTTTTATTTGAAGAAAATTTTCACTGTATATTCTATTCTAAGGTAAAAGTTTTTTTCCTTTAATACTTTAAATATTTATTGCTTCTCTCTCCTGGCCAGTAGAGTTTCCACTGTAAAGTCTGCTGCCAGACGTGTTGGAGCTCCCCAGTATGTTATTTGTTCCTTTTCTCTTTCTTCGTTTAGAACTTTTCTTTATCTTTGACATTTGGAAGATTTATTGAATGCTTTGAAGTCGTCTTTTTTGGGTTAAATCTGCTTAATGTTCTATAACATTTTTGTAGGTGGATATGGATATCTTTCTATAGGTTTGGAAAGTTCTGTGTTATTATCCCTTTGAATAAATTTTTCTACCCTGCCTCTTTCTCTACATCTTCTTTAAAACCAATAACTCTTAGATCTGTCTTTGTGAGGTTATTTTCTAGATCCTACCCTGCCTCTTTCTCTACATCTTCTTTAAAAACAAATAACTCTTAGATCTGTCTTTGTGAGGCTATTTTCTAGATCCTGTTCGCATGATTTGTTGTTTTTATTCTTTTTCTTTTGTCTCTTCTATGTATTTTCAAAGAGCCTGTCTTCAAGCTCACTATTTCTTCTGCTTGATCCATTCTGCTGTTACATGGCTTTAATGCATTCTTCAGCATGCCAATTGCATTTTTCAGCTCAGAATTTCTGCTTTATTTGCTGTAACTATTTCAATCTCTTTGTTGAGTTTAGCTGATAAAATTTGGAATTTCTTTACTTTGTTATCTTAAATTTCTTTCAGTTTTTTTTTTTAATACAGGTATTTTGAATTCTCTGTCTGAAACATCACATATCTCTTTTTCTCCAGGATTTGTCCCCAGTGCCTTATTTAGTTCACTTGGTGAGGTCATGTTTTCCTGGATGGTGTTGATGCTAGTAGATGTTCTTCAGTGTCTGGACATTAAAATCTTGGGCATGCAGCACCATATGAGGTTTAAAAAATAAAATTTAAAGAGAGAAAAGGTGAGTACTTATTGTAGTCTTCATTGTCTGGGCTTATTTGTAGCTGTCTTTCTTGGGAAGGTTTTTCACATATTTGAAAAGAGTTGGGTGTTGTGATCTAAGCCATATCTGCTTTATGGGGCACCTTATACCCAATAATACTGTAATTCTTCCAGACTCAGAGAAGTACCACCCTGACAGCCTTCAACAAGATCCAGGAGAATTTTCTAGATTACTGGCCAGAGACTCTTTTTCCCTACCCTTATTTTCTCTCAAAGATAAAGAGTTTTTCTCTCTGTTTGAAGCCACCTAAAGCTGGGAGAAGAAAGACACAAGCACCCCTGGCCACCACCACTATGACTGCCCTGGATCAGACCTGAAGCTACCACAGCACGGGTCTTGCTCAAGTCCTGCTGCATGCACTTTCTGACGACTGCCTATGTTCACTCAAGGTCTTTGGTCTCTACATTTAGCAGTTGGCAAAGCCAGACAGGCCTGTGTTCTTTCCTTTAGGGCAGTGAGATCCCTCAGTCCCTGGCTGGGTCCAGAAGTGCCATGCAGAAGTCAGGGCTTTGGCCACTTTTTCATAGGGTTTTTTGTTTTTCTCTTGTAAATTTAAGTTCCTTATATTGAATATTAGATCTTTGTCAGATACATAGTTTGTAAATATTTTTTTCTCATTCTATATGTTGTCTGTTCACTCTATTGATAATTTCTTTTGCTGAGTGGAAGTTTTAAGTTTAATTAGATCCCACTTGTCAATAGTTGTATTTGTTTTTTTGATGTCTTTATCATGAAATCTTTGCCTCTTTCTATGTCCAGGATGGGATTGTCTATGTTGTCTTCCAGGGCCTTTATAGTTTTGGGTTTTACATTTAAGTATTTAATCCATCTTGAGTGATTTTTGCTTATGGTATAAGGAAGAAGTCCAACTTCAATCTTCTGCATATCGCTAGCCAGTTATCCCAGCACCATTTATTGAATAGGGAATCTTTTCCCCATTGCTTGTTTTTGCCAGCTTTGTCAAAGATTAGATAGTTGTAGGTATGTGGTCTTACTTCTAACCTCTCTATTCCATTCCACTGGTGTATGTGTCTGCTTTTGTACTAGTACCATGCTGTTTTGGTTACTATAGTGCTGTAGTATAGTTTGAAGTCGGGTAATGTGATGCCTCAAGCTTTGTTCTTTTTGCTTAGGATTTCCTTGGCTACTTAGGTTCTTTCTTGGTTCTATATGAATTTTTGAATAGCTTTTTTCTACTTCCGTGAAGCATGTCATTGGTAGTTTAATAGGAATAGCCTTGGGCAGTACAACCATTTAAATGATATTAATTCTTTCTCTCCATTAACATGGAATGATTTTTCATTTATGTGTGTCTTCTCTGACTTCTTTGAGCAGTGTTTTGTAATTTTCATTGTAGAGATTTTTCACCTCCCTGGTTAGCTGTATTCGTATGTACTTTATTCTTTTCATGGAAATTGTGAATAAAATTGCCTCTCTGATTTGGCTCTTAGTTTGGCTTTTCTTGGTGTATAGGAATGCTAGCAAATTTCGTACATTGATTTTGTGTCCCGAAACTTTGTGGAAGTTGTTTATCAGCTTAAGGAGTTTTTGGGTCACAACTATAAGGTTTAGATAGAGAATTATGTTGTCTGCAAACAGAGGTAGTTGGACTTCTCTTTCTATTTAAATACCCTTCATTTCTTTCTCTTGTCAGATTGCTCCAGAAAGGACTTCTAATACTATGTTGAATAGGAGTGGTGAGAGAGGGCATCCTTGTCTTGTGCGGGTTTCAAGGAGGATGCGTCCAGATTTTGCCCATTTAGTATAATGTTGGCTGTGAGTTTGTCATAGGTGACCTTTATTATTTTGAGGTATGTTCCTTTGATACCTCATTTATTGAGAATTTTTAACATGAAGCTTTGTTGAATTTTACTGAAAGCCTTTCCTGAATCTATTGAGACAATCATATGGTTCTTATCTTTAGTTTAGTTTATGTTATGAATCACATTTTATTGATTTGCCCATGATGGACCAACCTTCCATTCCAGGGAAGAAGCTTACTTCACTATGGCGAATTAGCCTTTTGATGTGTTGCTAGATTCAGTTTGCAAGTATTTTGTTGTGGATTATTGAATGGATGTTCATCAAGGATACTGGCCTGAAGTTTTCTTCTTTTTTTGTGTCACTGCCAGGCTTTGGTATCAGGATGATTCTGGTCTCGTAGAACAAGTTGGGGAAGAGTCCCTCCTCCTCTATTTCTTGAAATAGTTTCAGTAGGACTGGTACTGGCTCTTCTTTGTACATCTGTTAAAATTTGTTAATCTATCAGGTCCTGGGTTTTTTTTTGGGGGGGGGTGTTGATAGGCTATTTATTATGAATTCAATTTTTGGAGCTCATAATTTGTCTGCTCAGAGACTGAATTTCTTCCTGGTTCAGTCTTGAGAGAGTATATGTGTCCAGGAATTTATTAATCTCTTCTAGTGTTTCTAGTTTGTGTGTATAGAGGTGTTCATAGTAGTTGCTGGTTGTTATTTTTATTTCTCTGGGGTCAGTGGTAACATTCCCTTCATCATTTCTAATTTTGTTTATTTGAATCTTCTCTCTTTTCTTCTTTATTAATCTAGCTAGTGCCCTATCTATCTTATTAATTTTTTCAAAAAACCTTGATTAAGTGATCTTTTGAACAGTTTTTCATGTCTCACTTTCCTTCAATTCAGCTCTGATTTTAGTTATTTCTTGTCTTCTATAAGCTTTGTGGTTGAGTTCTTCTTGCTTCTCTAATTCAGTTGTGATGTTAGGTGGTTAATTTGAGATATTTCTAATTTTTTGATATGGGCATTACTTCTTATGCCCTACTCTAACTTTTGTCCTTCTAGAAAACTCAGAACTATGCTTTCTAAACCAATTCAGACTTTCTTAGTGAATCAGCCTGGTCTCCCTGAGGCAAAGTTAGCAATTTTCCATTACACATGGTTCTCTTTCTCTGTAAGAATATCTAATGCAACAATGCAAGTGTTTATTTCCCTCCTGGTAATGTGGGGAACTTCTTTTGGCTGAGACCAAGACATGTAACCTTGTTCTTTCAACATTAAGGAAGATCTATTTAGAAAGCCTCCATTTTTACACAAAAGATATATAAACACCAATGAAAATAAATATGAAATTATATGACATACAATTATATTGTGGAAAGACTGAATAAATAAATGAACTAATCTCTAAAAAAAATGATGGTATAAAATGTTATAGAAATAAAAACCTTGGCTGGTATAGCATAATTAATGTATCAGTAAAGTATGTACATTGTAGAAGTGGCAGGAAGACAGCATAGAGAGTGAGACCTGACCAAAAGCTTTAAGGAAAGTTCTATACCCTTAAACGAGATTAAAGTGGACTCAGGAAAACATGGGCCACATGAGGGGAAGGACACATGTTCCAGACGAGCCAAAGCTCAGAACATCTCTACCTTCTCCAGGAGGAAAGGGGAGGCAAAGCAGCAGACAGAAGACAGCACGGCCAGGTCAGCACAGGGCACCCAGGCCAAGGCAGGTGGTCTCCGTTGTACAGGTAGTGAGGAGCCACTGCCAGGTGGGCTTTATTCATTAGTTTGTTTTGTCTCCTTTAGTAATGAAGACACATGATCAAAGTTGACCTTTGTAAATGTTGCTGCAGCTGAACAAAAAGATGGATAAAACCAGTGTTTTAAAAATTATGTTGTGTACAGCACTAGCCTCAGTGAGACATTAGTAGAACACACAGGCACACACACGTACACACACTCACACTGAGCCCAGATTATTCTGGCAAATGTTGGGTTAAGCAAATTAAAAGAAACATCTTTAGTGCTGGACTTCTCATAACCTGGAATGTGGCTATATGACTCATAAAACGGCAAGGTTAAGACAGAGCATGTCATTTTTTCCCAGAGATGCTGAAACACTTTCCTCTCCCTTGGCTTCAGTGTCACCTTCTTTCTCCTGGTTCTCCATCAACCTCTTTGGCTGCTCCTTCTTGATTTCCTTTTTGACAATCTGCTGCTGCTCAGCCACTCTCTTTTCATTCCCCATGGATTTCTCAAGTGTGTTTCTATTCCTGCA
>NT_187420.1:335279-374808 GCF_000001405.40 Homo sapiens | reverse complement strand
CTCCCAGCATGTTCCCTGCCACACTCCATCAGGTTTTCTCAGCAGACTCCATGAGGGTAGCAGCCTTGTCTCCACCGTTCCTTCAATGCTCAGCACATAACACAGAAGCTGACTCCATAACATTTAGTTGGCCAACTGAGACTAATTGTATGTTCCTCTAGATCTTAAAAAGTTACAGAAACATAGCACAATAGACAAAAAAAAAAAAATCTTTAGTCAGGAGTTCTCTATATATGTACAAGAGTTTGAAGTCATTATTAAAGCAAAGAGAAAGAGAAACTGACACAGAATTCCCTAAGATAAATTATTTTGCTTTAATCTTAATTCATCATGTGAGATAATCAAGACCATGTGTTACTGTAAATATTTCTAGCTTACAACACAATAACCTGATTTTTATTGTTTGAAATAACTGCAATATAAACCATTTAATCAAAAATTGCATAAATAATCCTTTCAAATGCAATTCTGCCTAAATTTTACATTACTCATATGTTCAAATGATAATGAACCCATAAGCTTTTCTAATACCTCAGTGAAAACACTGTACTGATTCCAGGTGTGGGAATCATATCTGAAAGTTATTTTACAGATGGGGAAAAGGTACGTACATGACATTGGCCTTTGCACTACTGTGCCCTTTTGGGTCAGGAAAAAGCTGTTCCCTTAAAGTCCTAAAAACTCTTCTGTCAGGTCTGAAGGGTGGGTGGGAAACACAGTTTTACAAATTTTAGCCACAGATGTTTTATTCCTTGCTTAAAACAGTGACTAGATAAAGGCCAGTAGAAGAGTCTCCAATGTTTCTTTAGAAGCGTGCGCCTGAGAACATCTTCCTGAAACACTCCCTTGTCTCTGCCCAAAATCACCTTAGGTAGGAAAATCACAGCTCAGCAGGCTGAGGAGATCCAAGGGGATCATTGAGCTCTGAGGCTTATGAGAGAAGAGAGAGAGGTCTAAGACTTTTTTTGTATAAATTTATGGGTTCCAAGTGCAATTTTGCTGTAAGCATGGATGGCATAGTGGTGAAGTCAGGGCTTTTAGGTATCCATCACCAGAATAATGCACATTGTACCCATTAAGTAATTTCTCACTATTCACCCCTTCCATCCCCTCACCCTGCCGAGTCTCCATTATCATTCCACTCTCTACGTCAGTATCTACACATCTTTTAGCACCCGCTTATGAGTGATAAAATAGGATGTTTACTCTGTGTCTGGTTTGCTTCACTTACAACAATGGCCTCCAGTTCCATCCATGTGACTTCAAAAGTTATGATTCTATTGTTTTTTATGCCTGAATAGTATTTCATTGTGTATATTTTCTACATTTTCTTTCTC
The DNA here is from genome assembly GCF_000001405.40 of Homo sapiens. NCBI lineage: Eukaryota > Metazoa > Chordata > Mammalia > Primates > Hominidae > Homo > Homo sapiens. The sequence goes on along the minus strand of NT_187420.1, from coordinate 373,471 downwards.
CAATCATTTGTTGATGGGCATTCAGTTTGATTTTATGTATGTGCTACTGTGAATAGTGTTGCAACAAATACACGAGTACAGTTATCTTTCTGATACATTGATTTCTTTTCCTTTGCATAAATACTCAGTGGTGGGATTGCTGAATCAGACAGAGCCAATAGATGATCAGTAATGATGGCCAATCATCAGCTAGAAAGAAAGTGCTTAGAAGGGCTTGAAAACACCGAAACTCTGAGACAACTGAGCTTCTAAAACTTCAACAGCCCTGAATGAAAAGTCCAAACACATTTATCTACCATTCAAGGACGCTTTATTGTCTGTCCTTTGTGCATCTCAGTAGTCTCTTTTTACCACACTGTCTATATACTGCATGAGCCATTTATATGAAACTATGTGACATTCCAAGGCATCTTATACTATATATTCAACCTAGTATATATACTATATACTAGGGATACTCTATGTATCCCTAGTACCTAGCACAGTCCTGGCATACAGTTTGCTACTAAACGTTTGCACAATGAAGGAATTATCTTGTATCCAGGTTCCAAGTTTTAAGGTGATTATTCACTAAAAAAAGTATTACAGTTCACAAATAATCTATTTCCCTTATTACAAATGGGATCGATTTTAATCTTATCCCCTAATAACATTACTTTCATTTACTCCGATCTAAATATACTGTCTTAAGAGAGCAATAAGAAAGAGAGTTGAAGCTGGAGTTTGAAGAATTGTACATGGTCCTGTGATAGATGCCCTACCTTGTTTTAACCTGAGTGACTCTCTCCTAGCGGAGAGAGAGCCGGACAGACTCTATTTTAGTTTCTTCAAGTGCAGCCCCCTTTATCTCCCTCCCTTAAGGCCATAACTAGGGTAAATTAACTCAAAGCACGTCCAGGAATGCACTTACTGATAAGATATTGAGGCAAGCTGCACAAGCAGCTCCTGGGTACACACTCAGTGAATATCACACAAAACCCCTTCATTTCTCTCTTTGTGATAGTTTAAGCCCCTGCGCCTGGAACTGTTTATTTGTTTTGTAACTGCTTTTGTAACCAATTAATTTTTTAACTATTTACCAGCTCTGCTTCTGTAAAAATTGTTTCGATAAACTCCCCCCTCCCCTATTTAGACCACGGAATAAAAAAAAACAGCCCCTTCCTCGGGGCCAAGAGAATTTTGAGTGTTAGCTGCCTCTCAGTCGCTGGCTAATAAAGGACTCCTTAATTTGTCTCAAAGGGTGGCTTTCCTCTATAACTCGCTTGGTTACAACAGTCCACACTGTGGCCTGAGGTGCATCGCGCACCTGAGCTTCATCTGTTAGGTATGTCAGGGAAGATAAGAAGGGTGAGAGTGGCCTCATCAGAGGACCCCAGATCTCTGGCTTCGCCATCTGGCAAGTGCACCTCTGTGAACAAAGACTTCAGAGCCAGATGACAAGAACGGCCCAAGCAGTCCACCAGGGAAACCTGGGCCCAGTGTACATCAATGCAGAGCATCAAGCATGGTGTAACAAGTGCACAGTTGCCTATTCCTGTTCAGAGATAACTGCATCCCACACACTGTAAAATGAAGAAATGCAGAGAAGCAGATGTAACTGAAGAAGACAGCAGGAGCAACAAGGAGGGACAACCACGACCTAGGAAGGCACGATGCCAGAGACGCCTGGACCCCACGCTAGGCTCAGTGCCTGTTATACTCTTGGGACCCAGGACTTTCCCTCTCCATCACAATGCATACTTGGTATTTTTTGTTGTTTAAAATATTGTACTTAGTTTTCACCTTTCTTTGTGATGCGTTAGTTCATCTCACAGAGTTGAACATTTCTTTTGATTGAGCAGTTTGGAAATACTCTTATTGTAGAATCTGCAAGTAGAACATTGGAGGGCTCTGCGGCCTATGTTAGAAAAGGAAATATCTTCAAATAAAATCTAGACAGAAGCAATCTCAGAAACTACTTTGTGATGTGTGCATTCACCTCACAGAGTTAAACCTTTCTTTTGATTAAACAGTCTATAAAATCTCTTTTTGTAGAATCTGCAAGTGAACATTTGGAGTGCTTTGAGGCCTATGGTGGGAAAGGAAACATCTTCACATAAAAACTAGACAGAAGAATTATGAGAAACTTCTTTGTGATGCCTGAGTTCATCTCACAGAGTTGAAACTTTCTTTCGATTGAGCATTTTGGCAACAATCTTTTGCAGAATCTGCAAGTGGACATTTGGAGGGCTTTGCGGCCAAAGTTACAAAAGGAAATATCTTCACATAAAATCTAGAGAGAAGCAATCTGAGGAACTTCTTTGTGACGTGTGCATTCATCCCACAGAGTTAAAACTTTCTTTTGATTGAGGAGTTTTGAAACTCTCTTTTTGTAGAATCTGCCAGTGGACATTTTGAGGGTTTTTAGGCCTATAGTGGGAAAGGAATTATCTTCACACTAAAACTAGACAGAAGAATTCTGAGAAACTGCTTTGTGATGTGTCCATTCATCTCACAGAGTTGAAACTTTCTTTTTATTGAGCAGTTTGTAAACAATCTTTTTGTAGAATCTGCAAGTGGACATTTGGAGTGCTTTGCGCCCTATAAAAGAAAAAGAAATATCTTCAAATAAAATCAAGACAGAAGCAAACTGAGAAACTTCTTTGTGATGTGTGCATTCATCTCACAGAGTTAAAACTTTCTTTTGATTGAGCAGTTTTGAAACTCTCTTTTTGTAGAATCTGCAAGTTGACATTTGGAGCGCTCTGAGGCCTATAGTGGAAAAGGAAATATCTTCACATAAAAACTAGAAAGAAGAATTCTGAGAAACTTCTTTGTGATGTGTGCGTTCATCTCACAGAGTTGAACCTTTCTTTCTATTGAGCAGTATGGAAACACTCTTTTTGCAGAATCTGCAAGTGGACATTTGGAGTGCTTTTTTTCCTATGGCAGAAAAGGAAATATCTTCACATAAAATTCAGACAGAAATAATCTGAGAAACTTTTTTGTGATGTGCACATTCATCTCAAAGAGTTAAACCTTTCTTTTGATTGAGGAGTTTCAAAAGTCTCCTTTTGTAGAATCTGCTAGTGGACATTTGGAGCGTTTTGATGCCTATGGTGGAAAGGGAAATATCTTCACATAAAAACTAGGTAGAAGTATTCTGAGAAACTTCTTTGTGATGTGTGCATTCATCTCACAGAGTTGAACATTTCTTTTTATTGAGCAGTTTGGAAACACTCTTTTTGTAGAATCTGCAAGTGGACATTTGGATCACCTTGTGGCCTATGTTAGAAAAGGAAATATCTTCACATAAAATCTAGACAGAAGCAATCAGAGAAACTTCTTTGTGATGTGGGCATTCATCTCACAGAGTTAAAACTTTCTTTTGATTGAGCAGTTTTGAAACTCTCTTTTTGTAGAAACTCCTAGTGGGCATTTGGAGTGCTTTGAGGCCTATGGTGGAAAAGGAAATAGCTTCACATAAAAACTAGACAGAAGAATTCTTAGAAACTTCTTTTTGATGTGTGCATTCATCTCACAGAGTGGAACCTTTCTTTTGATTGAGCAGTATGGAAACACTCTTTTTGTAAAATCTGCAACTGGACATTTGGAGCATTGCACGGTTTATGGTAGAAAAGGAAATTCTTCATATAAAATCTAGACAGAAGAAATCTGGGAAACTTCTTTGTGATGTGTGCATTCATCTCACAGAGTTAAACGTTTCTTTTGATAGAGCAGTTTCAAATCTCTGTTTTTGGAGAATCTGCAAGTGGACATTTGCAACGCCTTGAGGCGTATTCTGGAAAAGGAAACATCTTCACATAAAAACTAGACAGAAGAATTCTGGGAAACTTCTTTGTGATGTGTGCATTCATCTCACAAAGTTGAAACTTTCTTTTGATTTAGCAGTTTGGAAGCACTATTTTTTCAGTGTCTGCAAGTGGACATTTGCAGCGCTTTGCTGCCTAAGGTACAAAAGGAAATATCTTCACTTGAAATCTAGAAAGAAGCAATCTGAGAAACTTCTTTGTGATGTGTGCATTCATCTCACAGAGTTGAACCTTTCTTTTGATTGAGCAGTTAGGAAACACTCTTTTTGTAGAATCTGCAAGTGGAGATTTGGAGCACTTAGCAGCCTATGGTAGGAAAGGAAATATCTTCACATAAAATCTAGACAGAAGCAATCTGAGAAACTTCTTTGTTATGTATGCATTCATCTCACGGTGTTAAACCTTTGTTGTCATTGAGTAGTTTTGAAACTCTTTTTGTAGAATCTGCAAGTGGACATTTGGAGGGCTTTGAGGGCTATGTTGAAAAGGGAAATATCTTCACATAAAAACTAGACAGAAGAATTCTGACAAACTTTTTTGTGATGCGTACATTCATCTCCCAGAGTTGAACCTTTATATTGATTGAGCAGTTTGGAAAAACTCTTTTTGTAGAATCAGCAAGTGGATATTTGGAACGCTTTGTGGCCTATGGTAGAAAAGGAAATATCTTCACATAAAATCGAGAAAGAAACAATCTGAGAAACTTATTTGCTATATGTACATTCATCTCACAGAGTTGAAGCTTTCTTTTGATTGAGCAGTTTGGAAACACTCTTTTTGTAAAATCTGCAGGTGGACATTTGGAACGCTTTGTGGCCTACGATAGAAAAGGAAGTATCTTCATATCACAAAGAGAGAGTTTTAGAACTGCTCAAACAAAAGAAATGATCAACTCTCTGTGATGAACGCACACATCACAAAGAAGTTTCTCAGAATTCTTCTGTCTAGTTTTTATGTGAATATATTTCCTTTTCCACTGCAGGCCTCAAACCGCTCCAAATATCATCTTGCAGCTTCTACAAAAAGACGGTTTCAAAACTGCTCACTCAAAAGAAAGTTTTAACTCTGTAAGATGAATGCACACATCACAAAGTAGTTTCTCAGATTGCTTCTGTATATAATTTACGTGAAGAAGTTTCCTTTTCTACCATAGGCCCCAAAGCGCTCCAAATGTCCATTTGCAGATTCTAAAAAAAGAGTGTCTCCAAATTGCTCAATCAAAAGTAATGTTCAACTCTGTGAGAAGAACGTCCGCATCACAAAGAAGTTTCTCAGAATTATTCTGTCTACATTTTATGTGAGGATATTTCCTTTTCCACAGCAGGCCTCAAAGTGCTCCAAATGTCCACTTGCAAATTCTACAAAAAGAGAGTTTCCAATCTGCTCCATCAAAAGAAAACTTCAGCTCTGTGAGATGAATGCACACATCACAAAGGAGTTTCTCAGATTGCTTCTGTCTAGACATTATGTGAAGATATTTCCTTTTCCAACATTGGCCTCAAAGTGGTCCAAATATCCACTTGTAGATGCTACAAAAAGAGAGTTTCAAAACTGCTATATCAAAAGAAAAGTTTAACTCCATGAGATGAATACACGTATCTCAAAGAAGTTTCTCAGATTGCTTCTGTCTAGATTTTATGTGAAGATATTTCCTTTTCTACCATAGTCCGCAAAACTCTCCAAATGTCCACTGGCAGATTCTACAAAAAGAGTGTTTCCAAACTGCTCAATTGAAAGAAAGGTTCAACTATGTGAAATGAATGCACACATCACAAAGTTGTTTCTCAGAATTCTTCTGTCTAGTTTTTATGTTAAGATATTTCCTTTTCCACCATATGCCTCAAAGCGCTCCAAATATCCACTTGCGGATTCTACAAAAACAGAGTTTCAAAACTCCTCAATCAAAAGAAAAGTTTAATTCTGTGAGATGAATGCCCACATCACAAAGAAGTTTATCAGATTGCTTCTGTCTTCTTTTTATGTGAAGATATTTCCTTTTCCACCACAGACCTTAAAACGTTCCAAATATCCACTTGCGGATTCTACAAAAAGACAGTTTCAAAACCGCTCACTCAAAAGAAAGTTTTAACTCTGTGAGAGGAATACACACATCACAAACTAGTTTCTCAGATTGCTTCTGTCTACAATTTATGTGAAGATGTTTCCTTTTCTACCATAGGCACCAAAGCGCTCTAAATATCCACTTGCAGATTCTACAAAAAGAGAGTTTCAAAACTGCTCAATCAAAAGAAAGGTGTAACTCTGTGAGATGAATGCACACATCACTCAGAGGTTTCTCAGATTGCATCTGTCTAGATTTTATGTGAGGGTATTTCATTTTCTACCACAGGCCACAAAGCTCTCCAAATATTCAATTGCAATTTCTACAAAAAGAGAGTTTCAAAACAGCTCTATCAAAAGATAGGTTCGAATCTGTGAGTTGAATGCACACATAACAACGAAGTTTGCCGGAATACTTCTGGGTAGTTTTATCTGAAGATATTTCCTTTTCCAAAATTGACCTCAAAGCCCTTGAAATATCCACTTCCAGATTCTACAAAATAGTGTTTCAAAACTACTCAGTCAATAGAAAGTTTCAACTCTTTGTGATGAATGCACTCATCACAAAGAATTTCCGCAGAATGGTTCTGTGTAGTTTTTTTTTTTGTTGAAGATATTTCCTTTTCCATCATAGGGTGCAAAAGGCTCCAAATATCCACTTGCAGATTCTACAGAAAGAGAGAGTCAAAACTGCTGAATCAAAAGACAGCTTCAACTCTGTGAGTTGAATGCACACATAACAAGAAATTTCACAGAATGCTTCTGTGTAGTACTTATGTGAAGATATTCCCTTTTCCACAACAGGCCTCAAAGTGCTCCAAATATCCACTTGCAGATTCTACAAAAAGAGTGTTTCAAAACTGCTCAATCATAATATAGGTTCAACCCTGTGAGATGAATGCACACATCACAAAGAAGTTTCTCAGAATGCTTCTGTGTAGTTTTTATTTGAAGATATTTCCTTTTCCACTATAGGCCACAAAGGGCTCCATATATCCACTTGCAGATTCTACAAAAAGAGAGATTCAATATTGCTCAATGAAAAGATAGATTCAACAATATGAGTTTAAAGCACACATCACAAAGAAGTCTCTCAGAATGCTTCTGTGTAGTTTTTATGTGAAGATATTTCCTTTTCCTCAATTGGCCTCAAAGCTCTCAAAATATCCAGTTACATATTCTGCAAAAAGAGAGATTCAAAACTGCTCAATCATTAGATAGGTTCCATTCTGTGATTTGAATGCACAAATCATGAAGGAGTTTCTCAGAATGCTTCTGTGTAGTTTTTATGTGAAGATACTTCCTTTTCCATGGTAGGCCTCAAATCGCTCCAAATATCCACTTGCAGATTCTACAAAAAGACAGTTTCAAAACTGCTCAATCAAAAGAGAGTTTCAACTCTGTGAGATGAATGCATACATCACAAAGAAGTTTCTCAGAATGCTGTGTAGTGTTTATGGGAAGATACTTCCTTTTCCACAATGGGCCTCAAAGCGCTCCAAATATCCACATGAAGATTCTACCAAAAGAGTGTTTCAAAACTGCTCAATCAAAAGAAAGTTTCAATTCTGTGAGATGAATGCACACATCACAAAGAAGTTTCTCAGAATGCTTCTGTGCAGTTTTTATGTGAAGATATTTCCTTTTCCACAATAGGCCTCAAGGCGCTCCAAATATCGACTTGCAGATTCTTCAAAAAGAGTGTTTCAAAACTGCTCAATCATAAGATTGCTATAACCCTGCAAGATGAATGCACACATCACAAAGAAGTTTCTCAGAATGCTTCACTGTAGTTTTTATTTGAAGATATTTCCTTTTCCAGCATAGGCTGCAAAGGGCTCCAAATATTCACTTGCAGATTATACAAAAAGAGAGATTCAAAACTGCTCAATCAGAACATTGGTTCAACTCTGCGAGTTGAATGCACACATCACAAAGAAGTTTCCCAGAATGCTTCTGTGTAGTTTTAATGTGAAGATATTTCCTTTTCCACAATTCGTCTCAAAGCTCTATGAATATCCACTTGTAGAGTCTGCAAAAAGAGAGATTCAAAACTGCTCAATCAAAAAATAGCTTCTACTGTGTGATTTGAATGCATACCTCACAAAGATGTTTCTCAGAATGCTTCTATGTAGTTTTTATTTGAAGATATTTGCTTTTCCACAGTAGGCTTCAAAGCACTCCAAATATCCACTTGCAGATTCTCCAAAAGAGAGATATGTAACTGCTCAATCAAAAGATAAGTTTTAATCTGTGAGTTGAATGCACACATAACAAAGAAGTTTCCCAGAATGCTTTTGTGTAGTTTTCATGTGAAGATATTTCCTTTTCCACAATGGGCCCCAAATCTCTCCCAATATCCAATTGCAGATTCTGCATAAAGGGTGTTTCAAAACTGCTCAATCAAAGGAAGTTTTCAACTCTCTCTGATAAATGCACTCATCACAAAGAAGTTTCTCTGAATGCTTCTGTGTAGTTTTTATTTGAAGATATTTCCTTTTACACTGTAGAGCACAAAGGGCTCCAAATATCCACTTGCAGATTCTACAAAAAGAGAGTTTAAAAACTGCTCAATCAAATGATAGGTTCAACTCGGTGAGTTGATGGCACACATCACAAAGAAGTTTCTCAGAATGGTTCTATGTAGTTTTTTCTGTAAAGGTATTTCGTTTTCCACAATAGGCCTAAAAGTGCTCCAAATATCCACTTGCAGATTCTAAAAAAGAGTGTTTCAAAACTGCTCAGTCATAAGATGGGTTCAACCCTGTGAGATGAATGCACACATCAGAAAGAAGTTTCTCAGAATGCTTCTATGTAGTTTTTATTTGAAGATATTTCCTTTTCCACCTTACGCTGCAAAGGGCTCCATATATCCATTTGCAGATTCTACGAAAAGAGAGATTCAAAACTGCTCAATCAAAAGACAGGTTCAACACTCTGAGTTGAAAGCACACATTGCAAAGAAGTCTCTCAGAATGCTTCTGTGTAGATTATATATGAAGATATTTTCTTTTCCACAATAGGCCTCAAAAGTCCCCAAATATCCAGTTGCAGATTCTGCAAAAAGAGAGATTGAAAATGCTCAATCTAAACATAGATTCGACTCTGTGAGTTGAATGCATACCTCACAAAGAAGTTTCTAAGAATGCTTCTGTGTTGTTTTTATGTGAAGATATTTGCTTTTCCACAGTAGGCCTCAAAGAGCTCCAAATATACAGCTGCAGATTTTGCAAAAAGAGATATTCAAAACTGCTCAATAAAAAGACAGGTTCAACTCTGTGAGTTGAATGCACACATATCAAAGAAGTTTCTCAGATGCTTCTGTGTGGGTTTTATGTGAAGATATTTCCTTTTCCACCATAGGCCCCAAAGCACTCAAAATATCCACTTGCAGATTCTACAAAAAGAGTGTTTCAAAACTTCTCAATCATAAGATAGTTTCAACCCTGTGAGATGAATGCACACATCACATAGAAGTTTCTCAGAATGCTTCTGTGTAGTTTTTATTAGAAGATATTTCCTTTTCGACCATAGGCCACAAAGGGCTCCAAACATCCACTTGCAGATTCTACAAAAAGAGACATTCAAAAACAGCTCAATCAAAAGATAGGTTCAACTATCTGAGTGGAATGCACACATCACAAAGAAGTTTCTCAGAATGCTTCTGTGAAGTTTTTATGTACATTTATTTCCTTTTCCACAATAGGCCTCAAAGCTCTCCAAATATCCACTTACAGATTCTGAAAAAAGAGAGTTTCTAAACTGCTCAATCAAAAGATAGTTTCAACCCTGTGAGATGAATGTACACATCACAAAGAAGTTTCACAAAATGTTTCTGTGTAGTTTTTATGTGAAGATATTTCCTTTTCCACAATAGGCCTCAAGTCGCTCCAAATATCGACTTGCAGATTCTACAAAAAGAGTGTTTCAAAACCGCTCAATCATAAGATAGGCTTAACTCTGTGAGATGAATGAACACATCACAAAGAAGTTTCTCAGAATGCTTCTGTGTAGTTTTTACTTCAAGATATCTCCTTTTCCACCGAAGGCTGCAAAGGGCTCCAAATATCCACATGCGGATTCTACAAAAAGAGAGATTCAAATCTGTCCAATCAAAAGATAGTTTCAACTCTGTGAGTTGAGTGCACACATCACAAAGAAGTTTCCCAGAATGTTTCTGTGCCCTTTTTACGTGAAGATATTCCACAATTGGCCCCAAAGCTCTCCAAATTTCCACTTGTAGATTCTACAAAAAGAGCCTTTCAAAACTGCTCAATCAAAGGTAGGTTTCAACTCTGTGTGATGAATACACTCATCACAAAGAAGTTTCTCTGAATGCTTCAGTGTAGTTTTCATTTGCAGATATTTCCTTTTCCACAGTAGAGCACAAAGGGCTCCAAATATCCACTTGAAGATCCCACAAAAAGAGAGTTTAAAAACTGCTCAATCAAAAGATAGGTTCATCTCTGTTAGTTGAAGGCACACATCACAAAGAAGTTTCTAGGAATGCTTCTGTGTTGTTTTTATGTTTTTATATTTCCTTTTCCTCCATAGGTTGCAAATGGTCACAAATATCCCCTTGCCGATTCCACAAAAAGAGTTTCAATACTGCTCTATCAAAAGATAGGTTCAACTCTGTGAGTTGAATGCACACATCACAAAGAAGTTTCTCAGAATGCTACTTTGTAGTTTTTATGTGAAGATATTTCCTTTTCCACAATAGGTCTCAAGGGGCTCAATATATCCACTAGGAGATTCTACAAAAAGAATGTTTCCAAACTGCTCAATCAAAAGAGAGGTTCAAATCTGTGAGAAGAATGTACACATCACAAAGAAATTTCTCATAATGCTTCTGTGTAGTTTTTATGTGAAGATATTTCCTTTTCCACCATAGGCCTCAAAGCGTTCCAAGTATTCACTTGCATATTCTACAAAAAGAGAGTTTCAAAACTGCTATATAAAAAGATAGGTTCAACTCTGTGAGTTGAATGCACACATCAAAAAGAAGTTTCTCAGAACGCTTCTGTGTAGTTTTTATGTGAAGATGTTTCCTTTTCCACAATAGGTGGCAAAGGGTTCCAAATATCCACTTACAGATTCTACAAAAACAGAGTTTAAAAACTGCTCTATCAAAAGTCAAATTCAACTCTTTGAGTTGAAAGCACAAATCACAAAGAAGTTTCTCAGAATGCTTCTGTGTATTTTTTATGTGAAGATATTTCCTTTTCCACCATAGGCATCAAAGGGCTGCAAATATCCACATGCAGATTCTACGAAAAGAGTGTTTCAATACTGCTCAATCAAAAGAAAGTTTCAACTCTGTGGGATGAATTCACACATCACAAAGCAGTTTGTCGGAATCCTTCTGTGTAGTTTTTAATAGAAGATACTTCCTTTTCCACAGTAGGCTACAAAGGGCTCCAAATATCCACTTGCGATTCTACAAAAACAGAATTTCAAAACTGCTCAACCAAAAGATAGATTCAACCCTGTGAGATGAATGCACACATCACAATAAAGTTTCTCAGAATGCTTCTGTGTAGTTTTTATGTGAAGATATTTCATTTTCCACCATAGGCCTCAAAGTGCTCCAAATATTCACTTGCAGATTGTACAAAAAGAGTGTTTCAAAACTGTTCTATCAAATGAAAGTTTCAACTCCGTGAGATGAATGCACACATCACAAAGAAGTTTCTCAGAATGCTTCTGTGTAGTTTTTATGTGAAGATATTTCCTTTTCCACCATAGGTCGCAAAGTCTCCCAATACCCACTTGCAGATTCCACAAAAGGAGAGTTTCAAAACTGTTATATTTAAAGAGAGGTTCAACTCTGTATGATGTATGCACACATCACAAAGAAGTTTCACTGAATTTTTCAGTGTAGTTTTTATGTGAAGATATTTCCTTTTCCACCATAGGCCTCAAATCACTCCAAATATCCACTTGCAGATTCTACAAAAAAGTGTTTCCAAACTGCTCAATCAAAAGAAAAGTTCAACACTATGACATGAAAGCACACATCACAAAGAAGTTTCTCAGTATGCTTCTGTGTAATTTTCATGTGAAGATATTCCCTTTTCCACCATTGGCCACAAATAGCTCCAAATATCCAATTTTAGATTGTACAAAAAGAGTATATAAAAACTGCTCAATCAAAAGAAAGGTTCAACTCTGTGAGGTGAATGCAAAAATCACAGAGAAGTTTCCCAGAATCCTTCTGTGTAGTTTTTATGTTTAGATATTTCCTTTTCCACCATAGGCCTCAAAGCGCTCCAAATATTCACTTGCAGATTTTACAAAAAGCGTGTTTCAAAACTACTCACTCAAAAGAAAGGTTCAGCTCTGTGAGATGAATGCGCACATCACAAAGAAGTTTCTCAGAATGCTCCTGTGTAGTTTTTATGTGAAGATATTTCCATTTCCACCATTAGCTGCAAAGGGCTCCAAATATCCACTTGCAGTTTCTACAAAAAGAGTGTTTCCAAACTGTTCAATCAAATGAACGGTTCAACTCTGTGAGATGAATGCACACATCACAAAGAAGTTTCTCAGAATGCTTCTGTGTAGTATTTATGTGAAGATATTTCCTTTTCCACAATAGGCTTCCAAGGGCTCAAAATATCCACTTGCAGATTCTAATAAAAGAGTGTTTCCAAACTGCTCAAATAAAAGTAATGTTCAACTCTGTGAGATGAATGGGCACATCACAAAAAGTTTCTGAGAATACTTCTCTGTAGTTTTTATGGGAAGACATTTCATTTTCCACAGTAGACCTCAAAGTACTGCAAATATCCACTTGCAGATATTACAAAAAGAGTGTTTCAAAACTGCTCAATCAAATAAAATGTTCAACTCCGTGAGATGATTGCACACATCACAAAGAAGTTGCTCAGAATGCTTCTCTGTAGTTTTTATGTTAAGATATTTCCTTTTTCTCCATGGACTTCAAAGCACTCCAAGTATCCACTTGCAGATTCTACGAAAAGAGTGTTTCAAAACTACTCAATAAAAAGAAAGGTTCATCTCTGTGAGATGAATGCACACATCACAATGAAGTTTCTCAGAATGCATCTGTGTAGTTTTTGTGTGAAGATATTGAATTTTCCACCATAGGCTGCAAAGGGCTCCAAATATCCACTTGCAGACTCTACAAAAAGAGAGCTTTAAAGCTGCTCTAACAAAACATAGGTTCAACTCTGTGAGATGAATGCACACAATACAAAAAGTTACTCAGAATGCTTCTGTGTAGTTTTTATGTGAAGATATTAACTTTTCCACCATAGGCCTCAAAGCGCTCGAAATATCCTCTTGCAGATTCTACAAAAAGAGTGTTTCAAAACTGCTCAATCAAAGTAAGCTTCAACTCTGTGTAGTGAATTCACACATCAAAAAGAAGTTTCTGAGAATACTTCTGTTAAATTTTATGGGAAGATATTTCCTTTTCTACAGTAGGCCTCAAAGCCCTGCAATTATCCACCTGCAGATTCTACAAAAAGATTGTTTCAAAACTGCTCAATCATAAGATTGGTTCAACCCTGTGAGATGAATGCACACATCACAAAGTGGTTTCCCAGAATGCTTCTGTGTAGTTTTTATGAGAAGATATTTCCTTTTCCACCATAGGCTGCAAAGGGCTCCAAATATCCACTTGAGGTTTACAAAGAAAAAAAGAGAGTTTCAAAACTCCTCTAACAAAAGATAGGTTTAACTCTGTGAATTGAATATACTCATCAAAAGGAAGTTTATCAGAATACTTCTGTGTAGTTTTTATGTGAAGATATTTCCTTTACCACCATTTGCCATAAAGCCCTGCAAATATCCACTTGCAGATTCTACGAAAAGAGTGTTTCAAAACTGCTCAATGAAAAGAAAGGTTCAACTTTTTAAGATGAATGCACACATCACAAAGAAGTTTATCAGAATGCTTCTATGTAGTTTTTATGTGAAGATAGTTACTTTTCCACCTTAGGCCGCAAAGGGCTCTAATATCCATTGCAGATTCTACAAAAAGAGATTTTCAAAGCTGCTCTATCAAAAGATAGGTTCAACTCTGTGAGATGAATGCACACATCACAAAGAGGTTTCTCGGAATGCTTCTGTGTAGTTTTTTTGTGAAGATATTTCCTTCTCCACATTAGGACACAAAGCGCTCCAAATATCCACTTGCACATTTTACAAAAACAGTGTTTCCAAGTTGCTCAATAAAATGGGATGTTCAACTCTGTGAGATGAATGCACACATTAGAAAGAAGTTTATCAGAAAGCTTCTGTGTAGTTTTTATATGAAGATATTTCCTTTTCCACCATCGGCCACAAGGGGCTCTAAATTACCACTTGTAGATTCTACAAAAAGAGAGTTTAAAAACTGCTCTATCAACAGATAGGTTCAACTCTGTGAGTTGAATGCACACATCACAAAGAAGTTCCTCAGAATGCTTCTGTGTAGTTTTTATGTGAAGATATTTCCTTTTACACCATTGGCCTCCAAGCCCTCTAAATATCCATCTACTGATTCTACAAAAAGAGAGATTCAAAACTGCTCAATCAAAAGAAAGGTTCAACTCTGTGAGATGAAAGCACACATCACAAAGGAGTTTCTCAGAATGCTTCTGTGTAGTTTTTATGTGAAGATATTACCTTTTCCACCTTAGACCTGAAAGCGCTCGAAATATCCTCTTGCAGATTCTACAAAAGAGTGTTTCAAAACTGCTCAATCAAAATAAGGTTCAACTCTGTGAGATGAATTCACACATCAAAAAGAAGTTTCTGAGAATACTTCTGTTAATTTTTATGGGAAGATATTTCCTTTTGTACAGTAGGCCTCAAAGCCCTGCAAGTATCCACTTGCAGATTCTACAAATAAAGTGTTTCAAAACTCCTCAATCAAATGAAATGTTCAGCTCTGTAAGATGAATGCACACATGACAAAGAAGCTACTCAGAATGCTTCTGTGTAGTTTTTATGAGAAGATATTTCCTTTTCCACCATAGGTCACAAAGGGCTCCAAATATCCACTTGAGGTTTACAAAAAAAAAGAGAGTTTCAAAACTCCTCTAACAAAAGATAGGTTCAACTCTATGAATTGAATACACTCATCAAAAGGAAGTTTATCAGAATACTTCTGTGTATTTTTTATGTGAAGATATTTCCTTTTCCACATTAGGCCTCCAAGGGCTCCAAATATCCACTTGCAGATTCTACGAAAAGATTATTTCCAAACTGCTCAATCAAAAGAAAGTTTCAACATTGTGAGGTGAATGCACACATCACAAAGAAGTTTCTGATAATGCTTCTGTGTAGTTTTTATGTGACGATATTTCCTTTTCAACAATTGGCCTAAATTCGTTCCAATTATACCCTTGCAGATTCTACAAAAAGAGTGTTTGAAAACTGCTCAATCAAATGAAAATTTCACCTATGTGAGAAGAATGCACACATCACATAGATGTTTCTCAGAATGCTTCTGTGTAGTTTTTATGTAAAGATATTTCCTTTTCTAAAACTGGCCGCAAACGGCTCCAAATATCCACTTGCAGTTTCCACAAAAAGAGAGTTTCAAAACTGCTCTATCAAAAGAAAAGTTTAACTCTGTGATATAAATGAACATATCACAAGGAAGTTTCTCAGATTGATTCTGTCTAGTTTTTATGTGAAGATATTTCCTTTTCCACCATAGTCCCCAAGGTGCACGAAATGTCCACTTGCAGATTCTTCAAAAAGAGGATTTCAAAACTGGTCCTTCAAAAGAAAGGTTCAACTATGAGACACGAATGCACACATCACAAAGAAGTTTCTAAGAATCCTTCTATGTAGTTTTTATGTGAAGATATTTCCTTTTCCACCATAGGCATCAAAGCCCTCCAAATGTCCACTTGCAGATTCTACAAAAAGAGAGTTTCAAACTGCTCATTCAAAAGAAAGGTTTAACTCTGTGAGATGAATGCACAAATCACAAAGAAGTTTCTCAGATTGCTTCTTTCTAGATTTTATGTGAAGATATTTTCTTTTCTACAACAGGCCACAAAGCACTCCAAATGTCCACTTGCAGATTGTACAAAAAGAGTGTTTCCAAACTGTTCAATCAAAAGAATGGTTCAAATCTGTGAGATGAACACAGACATCACAAAGAAGTTTCTCAGAATTCTTCTGTGTAGTTTTTATGTGAAGATATTTCCTTTTTTATCATAGGCCACAAAGTGCTCCAAATGTCCACTTGCAGATTGTACAAAAAGAGTGTTTCCAAACTGTTCAATCAAAAGAATGGTTCAATTCTGTAAGATGAACGCACACATCACAAAAAAGTTTCTCAGAATTATTCTGTGTAGTTTTTATGTGAAAATATTTTCTTTCTAACATAGGCCACAAAGTTCTCCAAATGTCCACTTGCAGATTCTACAAAAAGAGTGTTTCCAAACTGTGCAATTAAAAAAAAAAGGTTAAACTCTGTGAGATGAATGCATGTATCATAAAGAAGTTTCTCAGAATTCTTCTATCTAGTTTTTATGTGAAGATATTACTTTTCCACCATAGGCCTCAAAGGGTTAAAATTGTCCAATTGGAGGTTCTACATAGGATAATTTCAAAATTGCTCTATCAAAAGAAAGGTTTAACTCTGTGATATGAATGCACACATCACAAAGAAGTTTCTCAGATTTCTTCTGTCTAGATTTTATGTGAAGATATTTCCTTTTCTACTATAGGCTGCAAAGTGCTCCAAATATCCACTTGCAGATTCTACAAAAAGAGTGTTTCAAACTACTCAATTAAAAAAAAGGTTCAACTCTGTGACATGAACACACAAATCACAAAGAAGTTTCTCAGAATTTTTCTATTTTTTATGTGAAGATATTTCCTTTTAAACAATAGGCCACAAAGCTCTCCAAATGTTCAATTGCAGATTCTACAAAAAGAGTGTTTCCAAACTTCTCAATCAAAAAAAAGGTTCATGTAGTCCCAGCTACTTGGGAGGCTGAGGCAGGAGAATGGCGTGAATCCGGGAGGCGGAGCTTGCAGTGAGCCGAGATCCCGCCACTGCACTCCAGCCTGGGCGACAGAGCGAGACTCCGTCTCCAAAAAAAAAAAAAAAAAAAAAAAAAAAAAAAAAAAAAAGGTTCAACTCTCTGAGATGAAAGCACACATCACAAGGAAGTTTCTCAGATTGCTTCTGTCTGTCTAGATTTTAAGTGAAGATATTTCCTTTTCCAACATAGGCTTCAAGGCGCTCTAAATATCCAATTGCAGACTCTTCAAAAAGAGGATTTCAAAACTGGTCCTTCAAAAGAAGGGTTCAACTCTGAGATATGAACACACACATCACAAAGAAGTTTCTCAGCATGCTTCTATCTAGTTTTTATATGAATATATTTCCTTTTCCACCATAGGCCTCAAAGCACTCCAAATGTCAACTTGCAGATTCTACAAAAAGACTGTTTCAAAACTGCTCAATGAAAAGTAAGGTTCAACTCTGTGACATGAACACACACATCACAAAGAAGTCTCTCAGATTGCTTCTGTCTAGATTTAATGTGAAGATATTTCCTTTTCCACCATACTCCTCAAAGTGCTCCAAATGTCCACTTGCAGATTCTACAAAAAGAGAGTTTCAAAACCTTTCAATCAAAAGAAAGGGATAACTCTGTGAGATGAATGCACACATCACAAAGAAGTTTCTCAGATTGCTTCTGTCTAGATTTTATGTGAAGATATTTCCTTTTTTACCATATGCCGCAAAATGCTCCAAATGTCCACTTGCAGATTCTACAAAAAGAGTATTTCCAAACTGCTCAATCAAAAGAAAGGTTCAACTCTGTGAGATAAACGCACACATCACAAAGAAGTTTCCCAGAATACTTCTGTCTAGTTTTTATGTGAAGATATTTCCTTTTCCACTAAAGGCCTAAAAGGGATCCAAACGTCCACCTGCAGATTCTACAAAAAGACAGTTTCAAAACAGCTCAATCAAAAGAAAGGTTTAACTCTGTGAGATGAATGCACACATCACAAAGAAGTTCCTCAGATTCCTTCTGTCTAGATTTTATGTGATGATTGTTCCTTTTCTACCATTGGCCACAAAGTGCTCCAAATATATTGTTGCAGATTCTACAAAAGAAGGTTTCCAAACTGCTCAATCAAAAGAAAAGTTCAACTCTGTGAGATGAACGCATGCATCAGAAAGAAGTTTCTCAGAATTCTTCTGTCTAGTTTTTATGTGAAGATATTTCATTTTCCACCATACACCCCAAGGTGCTCAAAATGTAAATTTGCAGATTCTACCAAAAGAGTGTTTCTAAACTGCTCAATCAAAAGAAAAGTTCACCTCTGTGAGATGAACGCATACATCACAAAGCAGTTTCTCAGAATTCTTCTGTCTAGTTTTTATGTGAAGATATTACCTTTTCCACCATAGGCCTCAATGCGCTCCAAATGTCCACTTGCAGATTCTACAAAAAGAGAGTTTCAAAACTGCTCCATCCAAAGAAAGGTTTAATTCTGTGAGATGAATGCAAGCATCACAAAGAAGTTTCTCAGATTGCTTCTGTTTAGATTTTATGTGAAGATTTTTCCTTTTCTACCACGGACCGCAAAGTGCTCCAAAAGTTCACTTGCAGATTCTAGAAAAGAGTGTTTCCAAACTGCTCAATCAAAAGAAAGGTTCAACTCTGTGAGGCAAAAGCACATATCACAGAGAAGTTTCTCAGAATTCTTCTTTCTAGTATTTATGTGAAGATATTTCCGTTTCCACCAAAGGCCTCAAAGTGCTCCAAATGTCCAGTTGCAGTTTCTACAAAAAGAGAGTTTCAAAACTGCTCAATCAAAAGAAAGGTTTAAATCAGTGAGATGAATGCACACATCACAAAGAAGTTTCTCAGATTGCTTCTGTCTAGATTTTTTGTGAAGACAATTCCTTTTCTACTATAGGCTGCAAAGCTCTCAAAATGTCCACTTGCAGGTTGTACAAAAAGCGTATTTCAAAACTGGTCCTTCAAAAGAAAGGTTCAACTCTGGGATATGAATGCACACATCATAAAGAAGTTTCTCAGAACGCTTCTATCTAGTTTTTACGTGAAGATATGTTCTTTTCCACCATAGGCATCAAAGCGCTCCAAATGTCCACTTGCAGATTCTACAAAAAGAGAGTTTCAAATCTGCTCAATCAAAAGAAAGGTTCAAGTCTGTGAGATGAGTGCACTCATCAAAAAGAGGTTTCTCAGAATTCTTCTGTCTAGTTTTTATGTGAAGATATTTCCTTTTCCACCATAAGCCTCAAAGCACTCCAAATATCCACTTGCAGATTCTACAAAAAGAGAGTTTCAAAACTGCTCAATCAAAAGAAAATTTTATCTCTGTGAGATGAAAGCACACATCACAAGGAAGTTTCTCAGATTGCTTCAGTCTAGGTTTTATGTGAATATGTTCCCTTTTCTACCACAGGCTGCAAAGGGCTCCAATTGTCCACTTGCAGATTTTACAAAAAGAGAGTTTCAACACTACTCAATGAAAAGAAAGTGTTAAGTCTGTGAGATGAATACACACATCACAAAGAAGTTTATCAGATTGGTACTGTCTAGATTTTATGTGAAGATATTTCCTTTTCTACCATAGGCCACAAAGCGCTCCAAATGTCCACTTGCAGATTCCACAAAAAGCGTGTTTCCAAACTGCTCAATCACAAGAAAGGTTCAACTCTATGAGATGAACGCACACATCACAAAGAAGTCTCTCAGAATTCTTCTGCCTAGTTTTCAAGTGAAGATATATCCTTTTCCACCCTACACCTCAAAGCGCTCCAAATCTCCACTTGCTGATTCCACAAAAAGAGAGTTTCAAAACTGCCCTATCATAAGAAAGTTTTAACTCTGTGAGATGAATGCACACATCACAAAGAAGTTTCTCAGATTGCTTCTGTCTAGAGTTTATGAGAAGATATTTCCTTTTCTACCACAGGCTGCAAAACGCTCCAAATGTCCACTTGCAGACATTTCAAAAAGAGAGTTTCAGAACTGCTCAATGAAAAGAAAGGTTTAACTCTGTGAGATGAATTCACACATCACAAAGAAGTTTCTCAGATTGCTTCTTTTAGATTTTATGTGAAGATATATTATTTTCCACCATAAGCCTCAAGGCGCTCGATATGTCCACTTTCAGATTCTACAAAAAGTGTATGTCAATACTGGCCCATCAAAAGAGAGGTTCAACTCAGAGATGAATGCCCACATCAGAAAGAAGTTTCTCAGATTCCTTCTGTCTAGATTTTATGTGAAGATATTTCCTTTTCTTACACAAGCCACAAAGCGCTCCAAATGTCCACTTGCAGATTCTACAAAAAGAGTGTTTCCAAAACTTCTCAATCAAAGGAAATGTTCAGCTCTGTGAGATGATCAGAAACATCCCAAAGTAGTTTCTCAGAATTCTTCTGTCTGGTTTTTATATGAAAATATTTCCTTTTCCACCATCGGCCTCAAAGCGCTCGAAATATCCACTTGCAGATTCTACAAAAAGAGAGTCTCCAAACTCCTCAATCAAAAGAAAGGTTTAACTCTGTGAGATGAATGCACACATCATAAAGAAGTTTCTCAGATGGCTTCTGTCTAGATTTTAGGTGAAAATATTTCCTTTACTAACATAGGTCACAAAGCTCTGCAAGTTTCACCTTGCAGATTTTGCAGAAAGAGTGTTACCAAACTGCTCAATCAAAAGAAAGTTTCAACTCTGTGTCATGAACGCACGCATCACAAAGAAGTTTCTCAGAATTCTTCTGTCTAGTATTTATGTGAAGATATTTCCTTTTCCACCATAGGCCTCAAAGTGCTCCAAATGTCCATTTGCAGATTCTACAAAAAGAGAGTTTCAAAACTGCTCTATCAAAAGCGATTTTTAAGTCAATGAGATGAATGCATACATCACAAAGAAGGTTCTCAGATGGCTTCTGTCTAGATTTTATGTGAAGATATTTCCTTTTCCACCACAGGCCTCAAGGCCCTAGAAATGTCCACTTTCAGATTCTACAAAAAGCATATTTGAAAACTGGTCTTTCCGAAGAACAGTTCAACTCTGGGAAATGAATGCTCACATCACAAAGGAGTTTCTCAGAATGCTTCTATCTAGTTTTTATGTGATTATATTTCCTTTTCCACCATATACCTCAAGCGCGCCAAATGTCCACTTGCAGATTCTTCAAAAAGAGAGTTTCAAAACTGCTCAATCAGAAGAAAAGGTTAACTCTGTGAGATGAATAAACACATCACAAATAAGTTTTTCAGATTGCTTGTGTCTATATTTTATGTGAAGATTTTTCCTTTTCTACCATAGGCCACAAAGCCTTCCAAATGTCCACTTTCAGATTCTATAAAAAGAGTGTTTCCACCATCATTCTCAGTAAACTATCGCAAGAACAAAAAACCAAACACCGCATATTCTCACTCATAGGTGGGAATTGAACAATGAGATCACATGGACACAGGACGGGGAATATCACACTCTGGGGACTGTGGTGGGGTCGGGGGAGGGGGGAGGGATAGCATTGGGAGATATACCTAATGCTAGATGACACGTTAGTGGGTGCAGCACACCAGCATGGCACATGTATACTTATGTAACTAACCTGCACAATGTGCACATGTACCCTAAAACTTAGAGTATAATTAAAAAAAATAAAATAAAAATAAAGTAATTACAATTAAGATAGGACCTAATTCTACTATTCTTCTCTTTGTTTTCTGTATATCTCATACCTTTTCTCACTCCTCATATCCTCCATTACTGTTATGTATTACATTAAATTGACTTTTATAATTTACCATTGTAAAAAAAAAAAAAAGAGTGTTTCCAAACTGTTCAATCGAAAGAAAGGTTCCACTCTGTGTGATGAATGCACACATCTCAAAGAAGTCTCTCAAAATTCTTCTGTGTAGTTTTTATGTGAATATATTTCCTTTTCCACCATAGGCCTCAAAGCGCTCCAAATGACCTCCCACAGACTCTACAAAAAAAGAGTTTCAATTCTGCTCAATCAAAAGAAAGGTTTAACTCTGTGAGATGAATGCACACATCACAAAGAAGTTTCTCAGATTGCTTGTGTCTAGATTTTCTGTGAGGATATTTCCTTTTATACAGTAGGCTGCAAAGCACTCCAAATGTCCACTTGCAGATTCTACAAAAAGAGTGTTTCCAAACTGCTCAATCGAAAGAAAGTTTCAAATCTGTGAGATGAATGCACACATCACAAAGAAGTTTCTCAGAATTCTTCTGTCTAGTTTTTATGTCAAGATATTTCCTCTTCCACCATAGGCCTCAAAGCACTCCAAATGTCCACTTGCAGATTCTACAAAAAGAGAGTTTCAAAACTGCTCAATCAAAAGAAAGTTTTAACTCTGTGAGATGAATGCACACATCACAAAGTAGTTTCTCAGATTGCTTCTGTCTATATTTTATGTGGAGATATTTCCTTTTCTACAATAGGCCACAAAGCACACCAAATGTCCACTTGCAGATTCTACAAAGAGTTTTTCCAAACTGCTGAATCAAAAGAAGGATTCAACTCTGTGAGATGAAGGTACACATCACAAAGAAGTTTCCCAGAATTCTTCTGTCTAGTTTTTATATGAAGATATTTCATTTTCCACCAAAGGCCTGAAGGCACTAGAAATGTCCACTTGCAGATTCTACAAAAAGTGTATTTCAAAACTGATCCATCAAAAGAAAGTTTCAATTCTGTGAGATGCATGCACACCTCACAAAGAAGTTTCTCAGATTGCTTCTATCTAGTTTTTATGTGATTATATTTCCTTTTCCACCATAGACCTCAAAGCGCTACAAATGTACACTTGCAGATTCCACAAAAAGAGAGTTTCAAAACTGTTCAATCCAAACAAAGTGTTAACTCTGTGAGATGAATGCACACATCACAAAGAAGTTTCTAAGATTGCTTCTGTCTAGATTTTTTGTGTAGATATATCCTTTTCTACCATAGGCCACAATGCACTCCAAATTTCCACCGGCAGATTCTACAAAAAGAGAGTTTCAAAACTGCTGAATCAAAAGAAAAGTTTAACCCTTTGAGATGAATGCACAGATCACAAAGTTTCTCAGATTGCTTCTGTCTAGATTTTATGAGAAGATATTTCCTTCTATACCATAGGCTGCAAAGTGCTCCAAATGTCCACTTGCAGATTCTACAAAGAGAGAGTTTCAGAACTCCTCAATCAAAAGTAAGTTTTAACTCTGTGAGATGAATGCACACATCACAAAGAAGTTTCTCAGATTGCTTCTTTCTAGACTTTATGTGAAGATATTTCCTTTTCCACTGTAGGCCCCAAGGCAGTTTAAATGTCCACTTACAGACTCTACAAAAAGTGTATTTCAAAACTGGTCTTTCAAAAGAATGGTCAACCCTGGGAGCTGAATGCATACATCAGAAAGGTGTTTCTCAGAATGTTTCCATCTAGTTTTTATGTGATTATATTTCCTTTTCCACCATAGACCTCAAGCGCTCTAAATGTCCACTTGCAGATTCTACAAAAAGAGACTTTCAAAACTGCTCAATCAAAAGAAAAGTTTAACTCTGTGAGATGAATGCACACATCACAAAGAAGTTTCTCAGATTGCTTGTGTCTAGATTTTCAATGAAGTTATTTCCTTTTCTACAATAGCCCACAAAGCGCTCCAAATGTCCACTTGTAGATTCTACAGAAAGAGTGTTTCCAAACTGCTCAATCAAAAGAAAGGTTTGTGTAGGAGGAGCGAATATGGCCAAATAGGAACAGCTCCGGTCTACAGCTCCCAGCGTGAGTGACGCAGAAGACAGGTGACTTCTGCTTTTCCATCTGAGGTACTGGGTTCATGTCACTATGGAGTGCCAGACAGTGGGCACAGGTCAGTGGGTGCAGTGCACCGTGCATGGCAGAAGCATGGTGACGCATTGCCTCACTCAGGAAGTGCAAGGGGTCAGGGAGTTCCCTTTCCTAGTCAAAGAAAGGGGTGACAGACGGCACCTGGAAAATCGGGTCACTCCCACCCAAAGACTGCACTTTTCTGACGGGCTTAAAAAACGGCACACCAGGAGATTATATCCCACACATGGCTTACACCAGGTGTTGGCGTAGGGTCCTACACCAATGGAGTCTCGCTGATTGCTAGCACAGCAGTCTGAGATCAAACTACAAGGCGGCAGTGAGCCTGGGGGAGGGGCGACAGCCATTGCCCAGGATTGCTTAGGTGAACAAAGCAGCCGGGAAGCTCGAACTGAGTGGAGCCCACCACAGCTCAAGGAGGCATGCCTGCCTCTGTAGGTTCCACTTCTGGGGGCAGGGCACAGACAAACAAAAAGACAGCAGTAACCTCTGCAGACTTAAATGTCCCTTTCTGACAGCTTTGAAGAGAGCAGTGGTCCTCCCAGCATGCAGCTGGAGATCTGAGAATGGGCAGACTGCCTCCTCATGTGGGTCCCTGACACCTGACCCCCAAGCAGGCTAACTGGGAGGCACCCCATAGCAGGGGCAGACTGACACCTCACACGGCCGGGTACTCCAACAGACCTGCAGCTGAGGGTCCTGTCTGTTAGAAGGAAAACTAACAAACAGAAAGGACATCCACACCAAAAACCCATCGGTACATCACCATCATCAAAGACCAAAAGTAGATAAAACCACAAAGATGGGGAAAAAACAGAGCAGAAAACCTGGAAACTCTAAAAAGCAGAGTGCCTCTCCTCTTCCAAAGGAATGCAGTTCCTAACCAGCAACGGAAAAAAGCTGGACGGAGAATGACTTTGACGAGCTGAGAGAGAAGGCTTCAGATGATCAAATTACTCTGAGCTAGGGGAGGAAATTCAAACCAAAGGCAAAGAATTTGAAAACATTGAAAAAATTTAGAACAATGTATAACTAGAAAAACCAATACAGAGAAATGCTTAAAGGAGCTGATGGAGCTGAAAACCAAGGCTCGAGAACTACGTGAAGAATGCAGAAGTCTCAGGAGCTGATGCAACCAACTGGAAGAAAGGGTATCGTGATGGAAGATGAAATGAATGAAATGAAATGAGAAGGGAAGTTTAGAGAAAAAAGAATAAAAAGAAACAAGCAAAGCCTCCAAGAAATATGGGACTATGTGAAAAAACCAAATCTACATCTGATAGGTGTACCTGAAAGTGATGGGGAGGATGGAACCAAGTTGGAAGACACTCTGCAGGATATTATCCAGGAGAACTTCCCCAGTCTAGCAAGGCAGGCCAACATTCAGATTCAGGAAATACAGAGAACGCCACAAAGATACTCCTTGAGAAGAGCAACTCCAAGACACATAACTATCAGATTCACCAAAGTTGAAATGAAGGAAAAAATGTTAAGCACAGCCAGAGAGAAAGGTCGGGTTATGCTCAAAGGGAAGCCCGTAAGACTAACAGCAGATCTCTCAGCAGAAACTCTACAAGCCAGAAGATAGTGGGGGCCAATATTCAACATTCTTAAAGAAAAGAATTTTCAACCCAGAATTTCATATCCAGCCAAATTAAGCTTCATAAGTGAAGGAGAAATAAAATACTTTACAGACAAGCAAATGCTGAGAGATTTTGTCACTACCATGCCTGCCCTAAAAAAGCTCCTGAAGGAAGTGCTAAACATGGAAAGGAACAACAGGTACCAGCCACTGCAAAATCATGTCAAAATGTAAAGACCATCGAGACTAGGAAGAAACTGCATCAACTAAAGAGAAAAATAACCAGCTAACATCATAATGACAGGATCAAATTCACACATAACAATATTAACGTTAAATGTAAATGGACTAAATACTCCAATTAAAAGACACAGACTGGCAAATTGGATAAAGATTCAAAACCCATCAGTGTGCTGTATTCAGGAAACCCATCTCATGTGCAGAAACACACATAGGCTCAAAATAAAAGGATGGAGGAAGACCTACCAAGCAAGTGGAAAACAAAAAAAGGCAGGAGTTACAATAGTAGTCCCTGATAAAACAGACTTTAAACCAACAAAGATCAAAAGAGACAAAGAAGGCCATTACTTAATGATAAAGGATCAACTCAACAAGAAGAGTTAACTATCCTAAATATATATGCACCCAAAACAGGAGCACCAAGATTCATAAAGCAAGTCCTGAGTGACCTACAAAGAGACTTAGACTCCCACACATTAATAATGGGAGACTTTAACACCCCACTGTCAACATTAGACAGATCAACGAGACAGAAAGTCAACAAGGATACCCAGGAATTGAACTCAGCTCTGCACCAAGTGGACCTAATAGACATCTACAGAACTCTCCATCCCAAATCAACAGAATGTATATAATTTTCAGCACCACACCACACTTATTCCAAAATTGACCATGTAGTTGGAAGTAAAGCTCTCCTCAGCAAATGTAAAAGAATAGAAATTATAAACTATCTCTCAGACCACAGTGCAATCAAACTAGAACTCAGGATTAAGAATCTCATTCAATACTGCTCAACTACATGGAAACTGAACAACCTGCTCCTGAATGACTACTAGGTACATAACGAAATGAAGACAGAAATAAAGATGTTCTTTGAAACAAACGAGAACAAAGACACACCATACCAGAATCTCTGGGACACATTCAAAGCAGTGTGTAGAGGGAAATTTATAGCACTAAATGCCCACAAGAGAAAGCAGGAAAGATCCAAAATTGACACCCTAACATCACAATTAAAAGAACTAGAAAAGCAAGAGCAAACACATTCAAAAGTTAGCAGAAGGCAAGAAATAACTAAAATCAGAGCAGAACTGAAGGAAATAGAGACAAAAAAAAACCTTCAAAAAATTAATGAATCCAGGAGCTGGATTTTTGAAAGGATCAACAAAATTGATAGACTGCTAGGAAGACTAATAAAGAAAAAAAGAGAGAAGAATCAAATAGACACAATAAAAAATGATAAAGGGGATATCACCACCGATCCTACAGAAATAAAAACTACCATCAGATAATACTACAAACACCTCTACGCAAATAAACTAGAAAATCTAGAAGAAATGCATAAATTCCTCGACACATACACTCTCCCAAGATTAAACCAGGAAGAAGTTGAATCTCTGAATAGACCAATAACAGGAGCTGAAATTATAACAATAATCAATAGCTTACCAACCAAAAAGAGTCCAGGACCACATGGATTCACAGTGGAATTCTACCAGAGGTACAAGGAGGAACTGGTACCATTCCTTCTGAAACTATTCCAATCAATAGAAAAAGAGGGAATCCTTCCTAACTCATTTTATGAGGCCAGCATCACCCTGATACCAAAGCCTGGCAGAGACACAACCAAAAAAGAGAATTTTAGACCAATATCCTTGATGAACATTGATGCAAAAATCCTCAATAAAATACTGGCAAACCAAATCCAGCAGCACATCAAAAAGCTTATCCACCATGATCAAGTGGGCTTCATCCCTGGGATGCAAGGCTGGTTCAATATACGCAAATCAATGAATGTAATCCAGCATATAAACAGAACCAAAGACAAAAACCACATGATTATCTCAATAGATGCAGAAAAGGCCTTTGACAAAATTCAACAACACTTCATGCTAAAAACTCTCAATAAATTAGGTATTGATGGGACTTATCTCAAAATAATAAGAACTATCTATGACAAACCCACAGCCAATATCATAGTGAATGGGCAAAAACTGGAAGCATTCCCTTTGAAAACTGGCACAAGACAGGGATGCCCTCTCTCACCACTCCTATTCAACATAGTGTTGGAAGTTCTGGCCAGGGCAATTAGGCAGGAGAAGGAAATAAAGGGTATTCAATTAGGAAAAAAGGAAGTCAAACTGTCCCTGTTTGCAGACGACATGATTGTATATCTAGAAAACCCCATTTTCTCAGCCTAAAATCTCCTTAAGCTGATAATCAACTTCAGCAAAGTCTCAGGACACAAAATCAATGTACAAAAGTCACAAGCATTCTTATACACCAACAACAGACAAACAGAGAGTCAAATCATGAGTGAACTCCCATTCACAATTGCTTCAAAGAGAATAAAATACCTTGGAATCAAACTTACAAGGGATGTGAAGGACCTCTTCAAGGAGAACTACAAACCACTGCTCAAGGAAATAAAAGAGGATACCAACAAATGGAAGACCATTCCATGCTTATGGGTAGGAAGAATCAATATCAAGAAAATGGCCATACTGCCCAAGGTAATTTACAGATTCAGTGCCATCCCCATCAAACTACCAATGACTTTCTTCACAGAATTCGAAAAAACTACTTTAAAGTTTATATGGCACCAAAAAAGAGCCCGCATCGCCAAGTCAATCCTAAGCCAAAAGAACAAATCTAGAGACATCACACTACCTGACTTCAGACTACACTACAAGGCTACAGTAACCAAAACAGCATGGTACCAAAACAGAGATATAGATCAATGGAACAGAACAGAGCCCTCAGAAGTAATGCCACATATTAACAACTATCTGATCTTTGACAAACCTGAGAAAAACAAGCAATAGGGAAAGGATTCCCTATTTAATAAACGGTGCTGGGAAAACTGGCTAGCCATATGTAGAAAGCTGAAACTAGATCCCTTTCTTACACCTTATACAAAAATTAATTCCAGATGGATTAAAGAAATAAACTTTAGGCCTAAAACCATAAAAACCCTAGAAGAAAACCTAGGCATTACCATTCAGGACATAGGCATGGGCAAGGACTTCATGTCTAAAACACTAAAAGCAATGGCAACAAAAGCCAAAATTGACAAATGGGATCTAATTAAACTAAAGAGCTTCTGCACAGCAAAAGAAACTACCATCAGAGTGAACAGGCAACCTACAAAATGGGAGAAAATTTTCGCAACCTACTCATCTGACAAAGGGCTAATATCCAGAATCTATGATGAACTCAAACAAATTTACTAGAAAAAAAACAAACAACCCCATCAAAAAGTGGGCAAAGGACATGAACAGACATTCTCAAAAGAAGACATTTATGCAGCCAAAAAACACATGAAAAAATGCTCACCATCACTGGCCATCAGAGAAATGCAAATCAAAACCACAATGAGATACCATCTCACACCAGTTAGAATGGCAATCATTAAAAAGTCAGGAAACAACAGGTGCTGGAGAGGATGTGGAGAAATAGGGACACTTTTACACTGTTGGTGGGACTGTAAACTGGTTCAACCATTGTGGAAGTCAGTGTGGCGATTCCTCAGGGATCTAGAACTAGAAATACCATTTGACCCAGCCATCCCATTACTGGGTATATACCCAAAGGACTATAAATCATGCTGCTATAAAGACACATGCACACGTATGTTTATTGCGGCATTATTCACAATAGCAAAGACTTGGAACCAACCCAAATGTCCAACAATGATAGACTGGATTAAGAAAATGTGACACATATACACCATGGAATACTATGCAGCCATAAAAAAATGATGAGTTCAAGTCCTTTGTACGGACATGGATGAAATTGGAAATCATCATTCTAAGTAAATTATCACAAGAACAAAAAACCAAACACCACATATTCTCACTCATAGGTGGGAATTGAACAATGAGAACGCATGGACACAGGAAGGGGAACATCACACTCTGGGGACTTTTGTGGGGTGGGGCAACAGGGGAGGGATAGCATTGGGAGAGATACCTAAAGCTAGATGACGAGTTAGTGGGTGCAGCACACCACCATGGCACATGTGAACATATGTAAGTAACCTGCACATTGTGCACATGTACCATAAAACTTAAAGTATGACAATAATAAATAAATAAATTAATTAATTAATTAATGAGGTTATTCAAAAAATAAACTAATTTTAAGAATTGGAAACAAAAAAAAGAAAGTTTCAAATCTGTGAGATGAACGCCCACATCACAAAGAAGTTTCTCAGAATTCTTCTGTCTAGTTTTTATGTCAAGATATTCCCTTTTCCACCATAGCCCTCAAAGCGCTCCAAATGTCCACTTGCAGATTCTACAAAAAGAGAGTTTCAAAACTGTTCGATCAAAAGAAAGGTTTAACTCTGTGAGATGAATGCAAACATCACAAAGATGTTTCTCAGATTGCTTCTGTCTAGATTTTACGTGGAGATATTTCCTTTTCTAACATAGGCCGCAAAGCGCTCCAAATGTCCAGTTGCAGATTCTACAAAAAAGGGTGTTTCCAAACTGCTCAATCAAAAGAAAGATTCAACTCTGTGAGATGAAGGTACACATCAAAAGAAGTTTCCTAGAATTCTTCTCTCTAGTTTTTATGTGAAGATATTTCATTTTCCACCAAAGGCCTCAAGGTACTAGAAATGTCCACTTGCAGATTCTGAAAAAAGTGTATTTCAAAACTGGTCCATCAAAATAAAGGTTCAACTCTGAGAGATGAATGCACACATCACAAAGAAGTTTCTCAAATTGCTTCTATCTAGTTTTTATGTGATTATATTTCCTTTTCCACCATAGACCTCAAAGCGCTCAAAATGTACACTTGCAGATTCTACAAAAAGAGAGTTTCAAAACTGCTCAATCAAAAGCAAGGTTCAACCCTGTGAGATAAATGCAAACATCACAAATAAGTTTCTCAGATTGCTTCTGTCTAGATTTTCTGTAGATATTTCCTTTTCAACCATAGGCCACAATGCACTCCAAATGTCCACCTGCAGATTCTATAAAAAGAGTCTTTCCAAACTGCTCAATCGAAGGAAAGGTTCACCTCTGTGAGATTAACGCACACATCAAAAAGAAGTTTCTCAGAATTCTTCTGGCTAGATTTTATGTGAAGATATTTCCTTTTCCACCATAGGCCTCAAAACGCTCTAATTGTCCACTTGCAGATTCTACAAAAAGAGAGTTTCAAAACTGGTCAATCAAAAGAAAGCTATAATTCTGTGATATGCATGCACACTTCAAAAGAAATTTCTCAGATTGCTTCTGTCTAGATTTTATGTGAAGATATTTCCTTTTCTACCTTAGGCCGCAAAGCGCTCCAAATGTCCACTTGCAGATTCTACAAAATGAATGTTTCCAAACTGCTCAATCAAAAGATAGGTTCAACTCTGTGAGATGAATGCATGCATCACAGAGAAGTTTCTCAGATTTCTTCTGTCTAGTTTTCATATGAAGATATTCCCTTTTCCACCATAGGCCTCAAAGCGCTCAAAATAACCCCTTGCAAATTCCCCAAAAATTGTGTTTGAAAACTGCTGCATCAAAAGAAAGGTTCAACTCTGTATGA
The DNA here is from genome assembly GCF_000001405.40 of Homo sapiens. Taxonomy (NCBI): domain Eukaryota; kingdom Metazoa; phylum Chordata; class Mammalia; order Primates; family Hominidae; genus Homo; species Homo sapiens. The sequence continues at coordinate 342,377 of NT_187420.1, read as the reverse complement.
TAAATACTCACATCACAAGGAAGTTTCTCAGAATGCTTCTGTGTAGTTTTCATGTGAAGATATTTCCTTTTCCACAATAGGCGTCAAAGCGTTCAAAATATCCACTTGCATATTCTACAAAAAGAGTGTCTCAAAACTGCTCAGTCATAAGAGAGGGTCAACCCTGTGAGATGAATGCGCACATCACAAAGAAGTTTCTCAGAATGCTTCTGTGTAGTTTTTATGTGAAGATATTTCGCTTTCCACGATAGGCCGCAACTCGCTCCAAATATCCACTTGCAGATTCTACAAAAGGAGAGATTCAAAGCTGCTCAATCAGAACATCGGTTCAACTCTGTGAGTTGAATGCAGACAACACAAAGAAGTTTCTCAGAATGCTTCTGTGTAGTTTTTATGTGAAGATATTTCCTTTTCCACAATACGCCTCAAATTGCTCCAAATATTCACTTGCAGATTCTACAAAAAGAGTTTTTCAAAACTGCTCAATCAAAAGAAGGCTTCAAATCTGTGAGATGAATGCACTCATCAAAAAGAAGTTTCTCAGAATGCTTCTGTATAGTTTTTATGTGAAGCTATTTGCTTTTCCACAGTAGGCCTCAAATATCCACTTGCAGATTCTACAAAAACAGTGTTTCAGAACTGTTCAGTCAAAAGAAAGGGTCAACAATGTGAGATGAATACACACATCACAGAGACGTTTCTAGGAATGCTTCTGTGTGGTTTTTATGTGAAGATATTTCCTTTTCCAACATAGGCCTCAAGGGGCTCCAAATATCCACTTGCACATTCTACAAAAAGATAGATTCAAAACTGCTCAATCAACAGATAGGTTCAACTCTGTGAGATGAATGGACACATTACAAAGAAGTTTCTCAGAATGCTTCTGTATAGTTTTTAGGTGAAGATATTTCCTTTTCCTCAATAGGCCTCAAAGCGCTCCAAATATCCACTAGCAGATTCTACAAAAAGAGTGTTTCAAAACTGCTCAATCATAAGATAGGTTCAACCCTGTGAGATGAATGCACACTTCACAAAGAAGTTTCTCAGAATGCTTCTGTGTAGTTTTTACGTGAAGATATTTCCTTTTCCACCATAGGCCTCAAATCGCTCCAAATATCAGTTTGCAGATTCAACAAAAAGAGTTTTTCAAAACTGTTCAATCAAAAGACAGGTTGAACTCTGTGAGATGAATGCACACATCACAAATAAGTTTCTCAGAATGCTTCTCTATAGTTTTTATGTGAAGACATTTGCTTTTCCACAGTAGGCCTCAAAGCGCTCCAAATATCCACTTGCAGATTCTACAAAACCAGTGTTTCAAAACTTCTTTATCAAAAGAAAGGATCGACCCTGTCCGATGAATGAACACATTACAAAGAAGATTCTCAGAATGCTTCTGTGTAATTTTCAGGTGAAGATATTTGCTTTTCCACAGTAGGCCTGAAAGTGCTCCAAATATCCACTAGCAGATGCTACAAAAAGAGTGTTCCAAAACTGCTCAATCATAAGATAGGTTCAAACTTGTGAGATCAATGCACACATCACAAAGAAGTTTCTCAGAATACTTCTGTGTAGTTTTTATTTGAAGATATTTCCTTTTCCACCTTAGGCAGCAAAGGGCTCCAAATATCCACTTGCTGATTCTACAAAAAGAGTGTTTCAAAAGTGCTCAATCAAAAGAAATGTTCCACTCTATGAGATGAATGCAAACATCACAAAGAATTTTCTCAGAATGCTTCTGTGTAGTTTTTATGTGAAGATATTTGCTTTTCCACAGTAGGCCTCAAAGTGCTCCAAATATCCACTTGCAGATTCTACAAAAACTGTGTTTCAAAACTGCTCAATCCACAGACAGAATCAGCTCTGTGAGTTGAAAGCACACATCACATAAAGTTACTCAGAATGCTTCTCTGTAGTTTTTATGTGAAGATGTATGCTTTTCCACAATAGACCTCAACGCACTCCAAATATCCACCTGCAGATCCTACAAAAAGAGTGTTTCAAAAATGCTCATTCATAATATAGGTTGAACACTGTGAGATGAATGCACAAATTAAGAAGAAGTTTCTCAGAAGGTTTCTGTGTATTTTTTATTTGAAGACATTTCCTTTTTCACCATAGGCCACAAAGGACTCCAAATATCCACTTGCAGATTCTACAAAAAGAGAGATTCAAAACTGCTCAATCAAAAGATAGGTTCAACTCTGTAAATTGAATGCACACATCACAAAGAAGTTTCCTTGAATGCCTCTGTGTAACTTTTATTTGAGGATATTTCCTTTTCCACAATACAGTGCACAGGGCTCAAAATATCCACTTGCACATTCTACAAAAAGAGAGATTCAAAACTCCTCATTCAGAAGATCGGTTCAACTCTGTGAGTTCAATAGAGACATCACAAAGAAGTTTCTCAGAATGCTTCTGTGTAATTTTTATGTGAAGATATTTCCCTTTACACAATAGGCCTCAAATCGCTCCAAATATTCACTTGCAGATTTTACAAAAAGAGTGTTTCAAAACTGCTCAATCAAAAGAAAGCTTCAAACCTGTGAGTTGAACACACACATCAAAAAGAAGTTTCTCAGAATACTTCTGTGTAGTTTTTATGTGAAGATATTTGCTTTTCCACAGTAGGCCTCAAAGGGCTCCAAATATCCACTTGCAGATTCTACAAAACCAGTGTTTCAAAACTGCTCAGTCAAAAGAAAGGATCAAATCTGCGAGATGAATGAGTACATCACAAAGAGGTTTCTAGGAATGCTTCTGTGTAGTTTTTTTACGAATATATTTCCTTTTCCACAATAGGCCTCAAAGCGCTCCAAATATCCACTTGCAGATTCTACAAAAAGAGTGTTTCCAAACTGCTCAATCAAAAGAAAGGTTCAACTCTGTGAGATGAATGCACACATCACAAAGAAGTTTCTCAGAATTCTTCTGTCTAGTTTTTATGTGAAGATATTTCCTTTTACACAGTAGGCCTCAAATCGCTCCAAATTTCCACTTGCAGATTCTACACAAAGAGTGTTTCCAACTGCTCAAAAGAAAGATACACCTCTGTGAGATGAATGGACACATCACAAGGAAGTTTCTCAGAATGTTTCTGTGTAGTTTTTATGTGAAGATATTTGCTTTTCCACAGTAGGCCTCAAAGGGCTCCAAATAACCACTTGCAGATTCCACAAAAACAGTGTTTCAAAACTGCTCAATCAAAAGAAAGGATCAACTCTGTGAGATGAATGCACACATCACAAAGAGGTTTCTAGGAATGCTTCTGTGTAGTTTTTATATGAAGATATTTCCTTTTCCACAATGGGCCGCAAAGCGCTCCAAATATCCACTTCCAGATTCTACAAAAAGAGTGTTTCAAAACGGCTCAATCATAAGACAGTAACAACCCTGTGAGTTGAATGCACACATCACAAAGAAGTTTCTCAGAATGCTTCTGTGTAGTTTTTATTTGAAGCTATTTCCTTTTCAACCATAGGCTGCAAAGGGCTCCAAATATCCACCTGCAGATTCTACAAAAAGAAAGATTTAAAACTGCTCAATCAAAACATAGGTTCATCTCTGTGAGTTGAATGCACATCAGGAAGAAGTTTCACAGAACGCTTCTGTGTAGTTTTTATGTGAAGATATTTCCTTTTCCAAAATAGTCCTCAAAGCCCTTCAAATATCCACTTCCAGGTTCTACAGAAACAGTGTTTCAAAACTGCTCAGTCAAAAGAAAGATTCACCTCTCTGTGTTGAATGCACTCATCATGAAGAAGTTTCTCTGCATGCTTCTGTGTAGTTTTTATTTAAGATATTTCCTTTTCCACCATAGGTCGCAAAAGTCTCCAAATATCCACCTGCAGATTCTACAAAAAGAGAGATTCTAAACTGCTCAATCAAAAGATACGTTCAACTCTGTGAGTTGAATGCACACGTCACAAAGTAGTTTCTCAGAATGCTTCCTGTAGTATTTAGGTGAAGATATTTCCTTTTCCAAGGTACGCGTCAAAGCGATCCAAATATCCACTAGCAGATACTACAAAAAGATTGTTTCAATACTGCTCAATCATGAAATAGGTTCAACCATGTGAGATGAATGCATACATCACAAAGAAGTTTCTCAGAATGCTTCTGTGTAGCTTTTATGTGAAGATATTTCCTTTTCCACAATAGCTCTCAAATCACTCCAAATATCCGCTTGCAGATTCAACAAAAAGAGTTTTTCAAAACTGATCCATCAAAAGCAAGTTTCAACTCTGTGAGATGAATGCACACATCACAAAGAAGTTTCTCAGAAAGTTTCTGTGTAGTTTTTTTGAAGATATTTGCTTTTCCACAGTAGGCCTCAAAGAGCTCCAAATATCCAATTGAAGATTCCACAAAAACAGTTTTTCAAAACTGCACAATCAAAAGAAAGGATCAACTCTGTGAGATGAATTCACACATCACAGAGAAATTTCTCAGAATGCTTCTGTGTAGTTTTCATGTGAAGATATTTCCTTTTCCACAATAGGCCTGAAAGAGCTCTGAATATCGACTTGCAGATTCTACAAAAAGAGAGATTCAGAACTGCTCAATCAAAAGATAGGTTCAACTCTGTGAGTTGAATGCACACATCACAAAGAAGATTCTCAGAATGCTTCTGTGTAGTTTTTATGTGAATATATTTTCTTTTCCAAAATATGCCCCAAAACCCTCCAAATATCAACTTCCAGATTGTACAAAATGAGGGTTTCAAAACTCCTCAGTCAAAAGAAAGATTCAACTCTGTGTGATGAATGCACTTATCACAAAGAAGTTTCTCAGTATGCTTCCGTGTAGTTTTTATGTGAAGATATTTCCTTTTCCATGATAGGCCTCAAATCGCTCCAAATATCCGCTTGCAGATTCTACAAAAGTAGTGTTTCAAAACAGCTCAATCAAAAGAAAGGTTCAAGCGTGTGAGATGAATGCACACAGCACGAAAATGTTTCTCAGAATGCTCCTGTGTAGTTTTTATGTGAAAATATTTGCTTTTCCACAGTAGGCCTCGAAGCTCTCCAAATATCCACTTGCAGATTCCACAAAAACAGTGTTTCAAAACAGCTCAATCAAAAGAAGGGATCAACTCTGTGAGATGAATTCACACATCACAAAGAAGTTTCTCAGAATGATTCTGTGTAGTTTTTCAGTGAAGGGATCTCCTTTTCCACAATAGCTCTCAAAGCATTCCAAATATCCCCTTGCAGATCCTAGAAAAAGAGTGTTTCAAAATTTCTCAATCAAAAGAAAGGTTCAACTCTGTGTGATGAATACACTCATCACAAAGATGTTTCTCTGAATGCTTCTGGGTAATTTTTATTTGAAGATATTTCCTTTTCCACAACAGGGCACAAAGGGCTCTAAATATCCAATTGCAGATTCTGCAAAAAAAGAAATTCAAAATGGCTCAATGAAAAGATATGTTCGGCTATTGAGTTAAATGCGCACCTCACAAAGAAGTTTCTCAGAATGCTTCTGTGTAGTTTTTATGTGAAGATATTTGCTTCTCCACAGTAGGCCTCAAAGCGCTCCAAATATCCCCTTGTAGATTCTGCAAAAAAAGAGATTCAAAACTGCTCAATCAAAAGATATATTCAAATCTGTGAGTTGAATGCACACATAACAAAGAAGTTTCTCTGAATACTTCTGTGTAGTTTTTATGTGAAGACAGTTCCTTTTCCAATGTTGCCCTCAAAGCTCTCCAGATATCCACTTCCAGATTCTACAAAAAGAGTGCTTCAAAACTGCTCAATCAAAAGAAAGTTTCAACTCTCTGTGGTGAATGCACTCATCACAAAGAAGTTTCTCAGTATGCTTCCATGGGATTTTTATGTGAAGATATTTCCGTTTCCACAATGGGCCTCAAATCACTCCAAATATCCACTTGTAGATTCTACAAAAATAGTGTATCAAAACTGCTTAATCAAAAGAAAGCTTCGACTGTGTGAGATGAAGGCACACATCACAAAGACGTTTCTCAGAATGCTTCTGTGCTGTTTTTATGTGAAAATATTTGCTTTTCCATAGCAGACATTGAAGCTCTCCAAATATCCACTTGCAGAGCCTGCAAAAACAGTGTTTCAAAACAGCTCAATCAAAAGAAGGGATCAACTCCGTGAGATGAATGCACTCATGAAAAAGAAATTTCTCAGAATGTTTCTCTGCAGTTTTTATCTGAAGATATTTGGTTTTGCACGGTAGGCCTCAAAGCGCTCCAAATATCCACTTGCAGAATCTACAAAAATAGTGTTTCAGAACTGCTCAACCATAAGATAGGTTCAACTCTGTGTGATGAATGCACTCATCAAAAAGATGTTTCTCTGAAAGGTTCTGCGTAGTTTTTATTTGAAGATATTTCCTTTTCTACCACAGGGCGCAAAGGGCTCCAAATATCCACTTGAGAATTCAGCAAAAAGAGAGATTAAAAACGGCTCAATCAAAAGATGGATTCGACTATTGATTTGCATGCACACCTCACAAAGGTGTTTCTCAGAATGCTTCTGTGTAGTTTTTATGTGAAGATATTTGCTTTTCCACAGTAGGCCTCAAAGGGTTCCAAATATTCACATGCAGATTCTGCAAAAAGAGAGATTCAAAACCGCTCAATCAAAAGATAGGTTCAACTCTGTGAGTTGAATGCATACATCATAAAGACGTTTCTCTGAATGCTTCTGTTTAGTTTTTATTTGAAGATATTTCCTTTTCCACCATAGGGGGCAAAGGGCTCCAAATACCCACTTGCAGGTTCTACAAAAAGAGAGATTAAAAACTGCTCAATGACAAGATAAGTTCAACTCTGTGAGTTGAATGCACACTTCACAAAGAAGTTTCTCAGAATGCTTCTGAGTAGTTTTCATGTGAACATATTTCTTTTTCCACAGTAGGCTTCAAATGGCTGCAATTATCCACTTGCAGTTTCGACAAAAAGAGTGTTTCAAAACTACTCAATCAAAAGAAAGGTTCAACTCTGTGAGATGTATGCACACATCACAAAGAAGTTTCTCAGAAAGCTTCTGGGTAGTTTTTATCTGAAGATATTTCCTTTCTCACAATAGGCCTCAAAGCACTCCAAATATCCAATGCAGA
>NT_187420.1:228076-333444 GCF_000001405.40 Homo sapiens | reverse complement strand
CTCAGATATTTCTGTGTAATTTTTATGTGAACATATTTCATTTTCCACAGTAGGCCTCACAGTGCTCCAAATATCCACTTGCAAATTCTACAAAAAGAGCCATTCAAAACTCATCAATCAAAAGATTGGTTCCACTCTGTGAGTTGAATGCGTACATCAAGAAGAAGTTTCTGGGAATGCTTTTGTGTAGTTTTTATTTGAAGATATTTCCTTTTCCACCATAGGGCGCAAAGGGCTCCAAATATCCACTTGCAGATTCTGCAAAAGAAGAGATTCAAAACTGCTCAATCAAAAGATAGGTTGAACTCTGTGAGTTGAATGCATATCCCAAAGAAGTTTCAAAAAATGCTTCAGTGTAGTTGTTATTTGAAGATATTTCCTTTTCCACAGTAGGCCTCAAAGGTCTCCGAATATCCACCTGCAGATACTGCAAAAAGAGAGATTCAAAACTGCCCAATCAAAAGATAGGTTCCACTGCGTGAGGTGGATGCATACAGCACAAAGAAGCTTCTCTGAATGCTTCTGTGTAGTTTTTGTTTGAAGATATTTCCTTTTCCACAAAAGGCCTCAACGCTCTCCTAACATCCACTTACAGATTCTGCAAAAAGAGAGATTCAGAACTGCTCAATCAAAAGATAGTTTCAACTATATGAGTTGAGTGCACACATCACAAAGAAGTTTCTCAGAATGCCTATGTGTGGTTTTTATGTGAAAATATTTGCTTTTCCACAGTAGGCCTCAAAGGGCTCCAAATATCCACCTGCAGACTCTGCAAAAAGGGTGATTCAAAACTACTCCATCAACAGATAGGTTCAACTCTGTGAGTTGAATGCCTACATCACCAAGAAGTTTCTCTGAATGCTTCTGTGCAGTTTTTATCTGAAGATATTTCCTTTTCCACCATGGGGCTCAAAGGGCTCCAATATCCACTTGCAGATTCTACAAAAAGAGAAATTCAAAATTGCTCAATGAGAAAATAATTCAACTCTGAGTTGAATGCACACCTCACAAAGAAGTTTCTCAGAATGCTTCTGTGTAGTTTTTATGTGAAGATATTTCCTTTTCCACAGTAGGCCTCAAAGGGCTACAATTATCCACTTACAGATTTTACAAAAATAGTGTTTCAAAACTGCTCCAACAAAAGAAACTTTCAACCTTGTGAGATGAATACGCACATCACAAAGTAGTTTCTCAGAATGCTTCTGTGTAGTTTTTACCTGAAGATATTTCCTTTTCCACAACAGGCCTCAAGGGGCTCCAAATATCCACTTGCAGATTCTACAAAAAGAGTGTTTCAAAACTGCTCAATCAAAAGAAAGGTTCAACTCTTTGAGATGAATGCACACTTCACAAAGAAGTTTCTCAGAATGCTTCTGTGTAGTTTTTATCTGAAGATATTTGCTTTTCAACGGTAGGCCTCAAAGCGCTCCAAATATCCACTTGCAGATTCCACAACAAGAGTGTTTCGAAACTGCTAAATCATAAGATAAGTTCAACCCTGTGAGATGAATGCACACATCACAAAGATATTTCTCATAATATTTCTGTGTACTTTTTATTTGAAGATATTTCCTTTTCCACCATAGGCCACAAAGGGCTCCAAATATCCACTTGCAGATTCTAGAAAAAGTGTGTTTGAAAGCTCCTCAATCAAAAGAGGTTCAACTCTGTGAGTTGAATGCACATATCCCAAAAAAGTTTCTCATAATTCTTTTGTGTAGTTTTTTTGTGAAGATATTTCCCTTTCCACATTAGGCTTCAAAGGGCTCCAAATATCCAAATGCACATCCTGCCAAAAAAGAGATTCAAAACTGCTCAATCAAAAGATAGGTTCAACTCTGTGAGTTGAATGCCTACATCACCAAGAAGTTTCTCTGAATGCTTCTGTGTAGTTTTTATTTGAAGATATTTCCTTTTCCACCATTGGGTGCAAAGGGCTCCAATATCCAGTTGCAGATTCTACAAAAAGAGAAATTCAAAACTGCTCAATGAGAAAATAATTCAACTCTGTGAGTTGAATGCACACATCCCAAAGTAGTCTCTCAGAATGCTTCTGTGTACTTTTTATCTGAAGATATTTGCTTTTCCACAGTAGGCCTCAAAGGGCTCCAAATATCCACCTGGAGATTCCGCAAAAAGAGAGATTCAAAACTGCTCAATCAAAGGAAAGGTTCAACTCTGTGAGTTGAATACATACATCAAAAAGGAGTTTCTCTGAATACTCCTGTGTAGTTTTTATTTGAAGATATGTCCTTTTCCACCATAGGGCACAAAGGGCTCCAACGATCCACATGCAGATTCTACAAAAGGAGAGATTCAAAAGTGCTCAGTGAGTAGATAAGTTCAACTCTGTGAGTTGAATGCACACCTCACAAAGAAGTTTCTCAGAATGCTTCTGTGAAGTTTTTATGTGAAGATATTTCCTTTTCCACAATAGGCCTTAATGCTCTCCAAACATCCACTTGCAGATTCTGCAAAAAGAGAGATTCAAAACTGCTCAATCAAAATATTGGTTCAACTCTGTGAGTTGAATGCACACATCACGAAAGAGTTCCTCAGAGTGCTTCTGTGTAGTTTTTATGTGAACGTATTTGATTTTCCACAGAAGGCCTCACAGTGCTCCAAATATCCACTTGCAGATTCTACGAAAAGAGAGATTCTAAACTCTTCAATCAAAAGATAGGTTCAAACCTGTGAGTTGAATGCATACATCACAAAGAAGTTTCTCCGATTACTTCTGTGTACTTTTTATTTGAAGATATTTCTTTTTCCACCATAGGGCCAAAGGGCTTCAAATATACACTTGCAGATTCTACAAAAAGAGGGATTCAAAACTGCTCAATGAGAAGATAAGTTCAACTCTGTGAGTTGAATGCACACCTCACAAAGAAGTTTCTCAGAATGCTTCTGTGTACTTTTTATGTGAAGATATTTTCTTCTCCACAATTGGCCTCAAAGATATCCAAACCTCCACCTGCATATTCTGCAAAAGGAGAGATTCAAAACTGCTCAATCAAAAGGTAGGTTCACCTCTGTGAGTTGCATGCACACATCACAAAGAAGTTTCTCAGAATGTTTCTTTGTAGTTTTTATGTGAACATATTTGATTTTCCACATTAGGTCTCACAGTGCTCCAAATATCCACTTGCAGATTCTACAGAAAGAGAGATTCAAAACTGCTCAATCAAAAGCTGGGTTCAATTTTGTGAGTTGAATTCACACATTACGATGATGCTTCTGTGTAGTTTTTATACGAAGATATTTACTTTTCCTCCATAGGGTATAAGGGCTCCAAATATCCACGTGCAGATTCTACAAAAAGACAAATTCTAAGATGCTCAATCAAAAGATAGGTTCAACACTGTGAGTACAATGCACACATCACTAAGAAGTTGCTCAGAATGCTTCTGTGTAGTTTTTATGTGAAGATATTTGCTTTACCACAGTAGGCCTCAAAGCGCTCCAAATATCCACCTGCAGACTCTACAAAAAGAGTGTTTCAAAACTGCTCAATCATAAGACAGGCTTAACTCTGTGAGATGAATGCATACATCACAAAGAAGTTTCTCAGAATGTTTCTGTGAAGTTTTTATTTGAAATATGTCCTTTTCCACCATTGGCCGCAAAGGGCTTCAAATATCCACTTGCAGATTCTGCAAAAAGAGAGATTCAAAACCGTTCAAACAGAAGAAAGTTTCAAACCTGTGAGTTGAATTCACACATTCCAAAGAATTTTCCAAGAATGCTTCCGTGTAGTTTTTAAGTGAAGATATTTGCTTTTCCACAGAAGGCCTTAAAGAGCTCCCAATATCATCCTGCAGATTCTGCAGAAAGAGAGATTCATAACTGCTCAATCAAAAGATAGGTTCAACTCTGTGAGTTGAAAGCGTACATCACAAAGAAGTTTCTCTGAATGCTTCTGTGTAGTTTTTATTTGAAGATATTTCCTTTTCCACCATAGGGTACAAAGGGTTCCAAATATCCACTTGCAGATTCTACAAAAAGTGTGTTTCAAAACTGCTCAATCAAAAGAAAGGGTCAGCTCTGCGAGTTGTATGCACACCTCACAAAGAAGTTTCTCAGAGTGCTTCTGGGTAGTTTTTATGTGAAGATATTTCCTTTTCCATAATAGGCGTCAAAGGGCTGCATATATTCATTTGAAAATACTACAAAAAGAGTGTTTCAAAACTGCTCAATCTAAAGAAATGTTCAACTCTGTGAGATAAATGCACATATCACAAAGAAGTTTCTCATAATGCTTCTGTGCCGTTTTTAACTGAAGGTAACTCCTTTTCCACGGTAGCCCTCAAAGAGATCAAAATATCCACTTGCAGATTCTACAAAAAGAGTGTTTCATAACTACTCAATCATAAGACAGCCTCAAACCTTTGAGATGAATGCACACATCACAAAGAAGTTTCTGAGAATGTTTCTGCGTAGTTTTTACTTGAAGATATTTCCTTTTCTACCATAGGCCACAAAGGGCTCCAAATATCCACTTGCAGATTCTGCAAAAAGATTCAAAACTGCTCAATCAGAAGATAGGTTCAACCCTGTGAATTGAAATCACTCATCACAAAGAAGTTTCTCAAAATGCTTCCGTGTAGGTTTTATGTGAAGATATTTTCTTTTCCACAATAGACCTCAAGGGGCTCCAAATGTCTACTTGCAGATTGTACAAAAAGAGTGTTTCCAAACTGCTCAATCAAAAGGAAGCTTCAACCCTGTGGGATGAATGCACACATCGCAAAGAAGTTTCTCAGAATCCTTCTGTGCAGTTTTTATGTGAAGATATTTCCTTGTCCACAAGAGGCCTCAAAGGGCTCCAATTATCCACTTGCAGATTCTACAAAAAGAGTCTTTCAAAACTGCCGAATCAAAAGAAAAGTTTAACACTGTGAGATGAAAGCACACATCACAAAGAAGTTTCTGAGAATGCTTCTGTGTAGTTTTTATCTAAAGATATTTGCTTTTCCACGGTAGGCCTCAAAGCGCTCCAAATATCCACTTGCAGATAATACAAAAAGAGGGTTTCAAAACTGCTCAATCATAAGATAGCTTCAGCTCTTTGAGTTGAATGCACACATCACGAAGAAATTTCTGAGAATTTTCCTGTGTCGCTTTTATTTAAAGATATTTCTTTTTCCTCCATAGGGCACAAAGGGCTCCAAATATCCACTTGCAGATTCTACAAAAAGAGAGATTCTAAACTGCTCAAAAGACAGTTTCACCTATGTGAGTTGAATGCACACGTCACAAAGAAGTTTCTCAGAATGCTTCTGAGTACTTTTTATTTGAAGATATTTCCTTTTCAACAATAGGCCTCAAAGGACTCCAATTTTCCACTTGCAGATTCTGCAAAAAGAGTGTTTCAAAACTGCTCAATCAAAAGAAAGGTTCAACCCTGTGAGATGAATGCACACATCACAAGATGTTTCTCAGAATGCTTCTGTGTAGTTTTTATGTGAAGATATTTCCCTTTCCACAATAGGCCACAAAGGGCTCCAAATATCCACTTGAAGATTCTACAAAAAAAGTGTTTCAAAACTGCTCAATCAAAAGAAAGGTTCAACTCTGTGAGATGAATGCAAACATCACAAACAAGTTTCTCAGAATGCTTCTGTGACGTTTTTATGTGAACATACTTGATTTTCCACAGTAGGCCTCACAGCGCTCCAAGTATCCACTTGCAGATTCTACACAATAGAGATTCAAAACTGCTCAATCAAAAGACAGGTTCAATTCTGTGAGTTGAATGCACACATCACGAAGAAGTTTCTGAGAATGCTTCTGTGTAGTTTTTATTTGAAGATATTTCCTTTTCCAACATAGAGCGCAAAGGGCTCCAAATATCCACGTGCAGATTCTACAAAAAGAGTGTTTCAAAACTGTTCCATCAAAAGAAAGGTTCAACTCTGTGAGTTGAATGCACACATCACAAAGAAGTTTCTCAGAATGCTTCTGTGTAGTTTTTATGTGAAGATATTTCTTTTACACAGTAGGCCTCAAAGGTCTCCAAATATCCACTTGCAGATTCTATAATAAGTGTGTTTCAAAACTGCTCAATCAGAAGAAGGTTTCAACTATGTGAGTTGAATGCACACATCACAAAGAAGTTTCTCAGAATGCTTCTCTGTTTTATTTATCTGAAGATATTTGCTATTCCATGGTAGGCCTGAAAGCGCTCCAAATATCCACATGCAGATTCTACAAAAAGAGTGTTTCAAAACTGCTGAATCATAAGACAGGCTCAACCCTGTGAGAAGAATGCACACATCACAAAGAAGTTTCTCAGAATGTTTCTGTGTAGTTTTTATTTGAAGATATTTCCTTTTCCAACATAGGCCACAAAGGGCTCCAAATATCCACTTGCAGATTCTGCAAAAAGACATATTCAAAACAGCTCAATCAGAAGATAGGTTCCACCCTGTGAGGAGAATTCACACATCCCAAAGGATTTTCTCAGAATTCTTCTGTGCAGTCTTTAAGTGAGATATTTGCTTTTGCACAGTATGCCTCAAAGGCTTCAAATATAAACCTGCCGATTCTGCAAAAAGAGAGATTCAAAACTGCTCAATCAAAACTTACATTCAACTCTGTGAGGTGAATGCATACCTCACAAAGAAGTTTCTCTGAATGCCTCTGTGTAGTTTTTATTTGAGGATATTTCCTTTTCCACCATGGGGTGCAGAGGGCTCCAAATATCAACTTGCAGATTCTACAAAAAGAGAGATTCAAAACTACTCAATCAGAAGATATGTTCAACTCTGTGAGTTAATGCACACCTCACAAAAAAGTTTATCAGAATACTTCTGTTTAGTTTTTAGGTGAAGATATTTCCTTTTCCACAATAGGCCTCAAAGCCCTCCAAATATCCACTTGCAGATTCTGCAAAAGGAGAAATTCAAAACTGCTTAATCAAAAGAAAGGTTCAACTGTGAGATAAATGCACCAATCACAAAGAAGTTTCTCAGAATGTTACTGTGTATTTTTTATGTAAACATATTTGATTTTCAACAATAGGCCTCACAGCGCTCCAAATATCCACTAGCAGATTCTGCAAAAGAGAGATTCAAAACTGCTTAATCAAAAGATATTTTCAGCTCTGTGAGTTGAATGCACACATCACGAAGTAGTTTCTGAGAATGCTTCTGTGAATTTTTTGTTTGAAGATATTTCCTTTTCCACCTCAGGGTGCAAAGGGTTCCAAATATCCACTTACAAATTCTACAAAAAGAGAGATTCCAAACTGCTCAATCAAAAGGTAGGTTCAACTCTGTGAGTTCAATGCTCACATCACAAAGAAGTTTCTCAGAATGCTTCTGAGTAGTTTTTATGTGAAGATATTTGCTTTTCCACAATAGGCCTCAAAGGGCTCCAATTATCCACTTGCAGATTCTACAAAAGAGTGTTTCAAAACTGCTCAATCAAAAGAAAAGTTCAACTCTGTGAGATGAATTCACACATCCCAAAGGATTTTCTCAGAATGCTTCTGTGTAGTCTTTAAGTGAAGATATTTGCTTTCACACAGTAGACCTCAAAGGCTCCAAATATAAACCTGCCGATTCTGCAAAAAGACAGATTCAAAACTGCTCAATCAAAAGAAAGGTTCAACTCTGTGAGATGAATGCACACATCTCAAAGAAGTTTCTCATAATGCTTCTGTGTAGTTTTTATCTGAAGATAGTTGCTTTTCCACGGTAGGCCTCAAAGCGCTCCAAATATCCACTTGCAGATTCTACAGAAAGAGAGAGTCTAAACTTCTCAATGAGAAGATAAGTTCAACTCTGTGAGTTGAATGCACACCTCACAAAGGAGTTTCTCAGAATGCTTCTGTGTAGTTTTTATTTGAAGTTATTTCCTTTTCCAAAATAGTCCTCAAAGCTCTCCAAATATCCACTTTCAGATTCTGCAAAAACAGAGATTCAAAACTGCTCAGTCAAAAGATAGTTCAGCGTTGGGAGTTGAATGCACACATCACAAAGAAGTTTCTCAGAATGCTTCTGTGTTGTTTTTATGTGAACATATTTGATTTTCCACAGTAGGCCTCACAGGGTTGCAAATATCCACTTGCAGATTCTACAAAAAAAGAGATTCAAAACTGCTCAATCAAAATATAAGTTCAACTCTGTGAGTTTAATACACACATCACATAGAACTTTCTCAGAATTCTTCTGTGTGGTTTTTATTTGAAGATATGTCCTTTACCACCATAGGGCCCAAAAGGCTCCAAATAGCCACTTGCAGATTCTACAAATAGAGAGATTCTAAACTGCATAATCAAAAGATAGGTTCAACTCTGTGAGTTGAATGCACACATCACAAAGAAGTTTCTCAGAATGCTTCTGTGTTGTTTTTATGTGAACATATTTGATTTTCCACAGTAGGCCTCACAGGGCTGCAAATATCCACTTGCAGATTCTACAAAAAGAGTGTTTCAAAACTGCTCAATAAAATGAAATGTCCAACTCTGTGAGATGAATGCACACATCACAAAGAAGTTTCTCTGAATGCTTCGGTGTAGTTTTTATGAGAAGATATTTCCTTTTCCACAATAGGCCTCTAGGGGCTCCAAATATCCCCTGCAGATCCTACAAAAAGAGTTTCAAAACTGCTCAATGAAAATAAAGGTTCAACTCTGTGAGATGAATGCACACATCACAGAGAAGTTTCTCAGAATGCTTCTGTGTAGTTTTTGTGTGAAGATATTTGCTTTTCCACGTTAGACCTGAAAGTACTCCAATTATCCACTTGCAGATACTGCAAAAAGAGAGATTCAAAACTGCTCAATTAAAAGATAGGCTCAACTCTGTGAGTTGAATGCCCACATCACAAAGAAGTTTCTCAGAATGCTTTTTTGTAGTTTTCATGTGCACATATTTGATTTTTTACAGTAGACCTCACAGCGCTCCAAATATCCACTTGCAGATTCTACAAAAAGAGAGATTCAAAACTGCTCAATCAAAAGACAGGTTCAACTCTGTGAGTTGAATGCACACATCACGAAGTAGTATCTGAGAATGCTTCTGTGTAGTTTTTATATGAAGATATTTCCTTTTTACCATAGGGCACAAAGGGCTCCAAATATCCACTTGCACATTCTACAAAAAGAGAGATTCTAAACTGGTCCATCAAAAGATAGGTTCATCTCTTTGAATTGAATGTACACATCACAAAGAAGTTTCTCAGATTGTTTCTGAGTAGTTTTTATGTGAAGATATTTCTTTTTCCACAATAGGCCTCAAAGGGCTCCAATTATGCACTTACAGATTCTACAAAAAGTGTGTCAAAACTGCTGAATCAAAAGAAAGGTTCAACTCTCTGAGATGAATGCACACATCACAAAGAAGTTTCTCAGGATCCTTCTGTGTAGTTTTTATTTGAGGATATTTCCTTTTCCACCTTAGGCTGCAAAGACTTCCAAATATCCACTTGCAGATTCTGCAAAAAGAGTGATTCAAAACTGCTCAATCAAAAGATAGGTTCAACTCTGTGAGTTGAATGCACGTATCCCAAAGTAGTTTCTCAGAATGTTTCTGTATAGTTTTTATGTGAAGATATTTCCTTTTCCACAGTAAGCCTCCAAGGATCCAAATATCTACCTGCAGATTCTGCAAAAAGAGTGATTCAAAACAGCTCAATCAAAGATAGGTTCAACTCTGTGAGTTGAATGCATACATCACAAGGAAGTTTCTCTGAATGCTTCTGTGTAGTTTTTATGTGAAGATATTTGCTTTTCTACGGTCAGCCTCAAAGCGTTCCAATTTTCCACTTGCAGATTCTACAAAAAGAGTGTTTCTAAACTGCTCAATCATAAGAAAGGTTCAACCCTGTGAGATGAATGCACACAGCACAACGAAGTTTCTCAGAATGTTTCTGTGTAATTTTTATTTGAAGATATTTCCTTTTCCACCATAGGCCCCAAAGGGCTCCAAATATCCAATAGCAGAGTCTGCAAAAAGAGAGATTCAAACTGCTGAATCAAAAGATAGGTTCAACTCTGTGAGTTGGATACAAACATCCCAAAGAAGTTTCTCAGGGAGCTTCTGTGTAGTTTTTATGTGAAGTTATTTGCTTTTCCACAGTAGGCCTCAAAGGGCTCCAAATATCCACCTGCAGATTCTGCAAGAAGAGAGATTCAAAACTGCTCAATCAAAAAATTGTTCAACTCTGTGAGATGAATGCACACATCACAACGAAGTTTCTCAGAATGTTTCTGTGTAATTTTTATTTGAAGATATTTCCTTTTCCACCATAGGCCCCAAAGGGCTCCAAATATCCAACTGCAGAGTCTGCAAAAAGAGAGATTCAAACTGCTGAATCAAAAGATAGGTTCAACTCTGTGAGTTGGATAAAAACATCCCAAAGAAGTTTCTCAGGGATCTTCTGTGTAGTTTTTATGTGAAGTTATTTGCTTTTCCACAGTAGGCCTCAAAGGGCTCCAAATATCCACCTGCAGATTCTGCAAGAAGAGAGATTCAAAACTGCTCAATCAAAAAATTGTTCAACTCTGTGAGATGAATGCACACATCACAAAGATGTTTCTCAGAATGCTTCTATGTAGTTTTTATGTGAAGATATTTCCTTTTCCACACTAGGCCTTAAAGGGCTGCAAATATCGACTTGCAGGTTCTACAAAAGAGTGTTTCAAAATGGCTCAATCAAACGAAAGTTTCACCTCTGGGAAATGAATGCACACATCACAAAATAGTTTCTCAGAATGCTTCTTTGTAGTTTTTATGTGAAGATATTTGCTTTGTCACAATAGGCCTCAAAGCGCTCCAAATATCCACTTGCAGATTCTACAAATAGAGTGTTTCAAAACTGCTCAATCAGAAGAATATGTCAACTCTGTGAGATGAAGACTCACATCACAAAGAAGTTCCTCATAATGCTTCTGTGTAGTTTTTATTTGAAGAAATTTCCTTTTCCACAATAGGCCTCAAATCACTCCAAATATACACTTTGAGATTCTACAAAAACAGTGTTTTAAAACTGCTCAATCAAAAGAAATGTTCAACTCTGTGAAATGAATGCACACATGACAAGGAAGGTTCTCCGGATGATGTCCGAATAGGAACAGCTCCAGTCTACAGCTCCCAGCGTGAGCGACGCAGAAGACGGGTGATTTCTGCATTTCCTTCTGAGGTTCTGTGTTCATCTCACTAGGGCATGCCAGACAGTGGGCCCAGGACAAGTCTCTGCACCCCGGAAAGTGTGATCATGTTGACTGTTTGTTTCCCGACCTCTGTGGGGCCCCAGAAACTTCCAGGAATACATGGAAGACCTGCATCGTGTCGGTGCTCTCCTTTCCAGTTTTCAAACAGGCTATATTGGAGACTCCCCATTTTTCAGGAAACAGGAATTCTTCGTCAAGACCTGATGCGTGGGACATTTCTTTTCTCTGTGGTTTTGCTCTCCTTGTCTACATGAAAATAAACGAGATCCATACACTTGGCGTGTGTGAGACTATTACGGCAACTGTGACGCCCAAGCGCTGGCTAAGAGTTGGCAGCCTGATCCCGGCACAAAGGTTCTGACGGACATCCAGACACACCCCACCACAGTCACTAGCAAACCCACTCCCAAACACACAGACACACACGGGCGCACGCGCGGGAACACAAGCACACACACAGACACACAAAGACACAGACAGCTTGAAGAAGAACAAGGGACAGAGAGATGGAGAGATAGAAACGAAAGAAGAGTGAGAAACAGCGATCGAGAGAAAGACAGAGAAGAACCGGGGAGATTGAGAGAGAGAGCACGCAAGGTGGAGAGGGAAGTAGAGAAAGGGAGAGGTTGAGGGAGCTAGAGAGGGGGAGCAACAGAGCCTTGGAGAGGGAGGCTCTGCTCTGGTAGATAGGGGCCCCTTTGGCGAGGGTAGGGTCGAGGGTACCTGGGCCGGGCTGGAACGGGGGGCAGGGCTGCCCACGCGAGAAAACCAACGGAGCCCTGAGACATGTTTTTACTTGGATTGGTTGGTTGCTTTGGGTATGCGTTTCCTAGCGTCATTCCTTTGTTGGCTCCTCCCTATCCTCTTGGTGTTGTGGGCCCTGAAAGTTGTAGAGTGCTTCTGCCCTGTGGCGGAAGCAATGGCGCCGAGCCTGCTTACAGGACGTGGCTTGGGTCTGTCTTAGATTTGTCTTTGTGAGGCGATTTTCTAGATCCTCCCCTGCCTCTTTCTCTACATCTTCTTTAAAAGCAATAACTCTTAGATCTGTCTTTGTGAGGTTATTTTCTAGATCCTGTAGGCATGATTTGTTGTTTTTATTCTGTTTCTTTTGTCTCTTCTATGTATTTTTAAAGAGCCTGTCTTCTCTGCTTGATCCATTCTGCTATTACATGGCTCTCATGCATTCTTCAGCATGCCAATTGCATTTTTCAGCTCCAGAATTTCTGCTTAATTTGCTGTAACTATTTCAATCTCTTTGTTGAGTTTAGCTGATAAAATTTGGAATTTCTATACTTTGTTACCTTAAATTTCTTTCAGTTTTTTTTTTTTTTTTTAATACAGCTATTTTGAATTCTCTGTCTGAAAGGTCACATATCTCTTTTTCTCCAGGATTTGTCCCTGGTACCTTATTTAGTTCACTTGGTGAGGTCATGTTTTCCTGGATGGTGTTGATGCTAGTAGATGTTCTTCAGTGTCTGGACATTAAAATCTTGGGCATGTAGCACCATATGAGAGGTTTAAAAAATAAAATTTAAAAAGAGTATAGGTGAGTATTTATTGTAGTCTTCACTGTCTGTGCTTATTTGTAGCTGTCTTTCTTGGGAAGGCTTTTCACATATTTGAAAAGAGTTGGGTGTTGTGATCTAAGCCATGTCTTCTTTATGGGGCACCTTATACCCAATAATGCAGTAATTCTTCCAGACTCAGAGAAGTACCACCTTGACAGCCTTCAACAAGATCCAGGAGAATTTTCTGGATTACTAGCCAGAGACTTTTTCCCTACCCTTATTTTCTCTCAAAGATACAGAGTCTTTCTCTCTATTCTAAGCCACCTAAAGCTGGGAGAAGAAAGACACAAGCACCCCTGGCCACCACCACTATGACTGCCCTGGATCAGACCTGAAGCTAGCACAGCACAGGGTCTTGCTCAAGTTCTGCTGCATGCACTTTCTGACGACTGCCTATGTTCACTCAAGGCCTTGGTCTCTACAATTAGCAGGTGGCAAAGCCAGACAGGCCTGTGTTCTTTCCTTTAGGGCAGTGAGATCCCTCAGTCCCTGGCTGGGTCCAGAAGTGCCATTCAGAAGTCAGGGCTTTGGCCACTTTTTAATAGGGTTTTTTGTTTTTCTCTTGTAAATTTAAGTTCCTTATATTGAATATTAGATCTTTGTCAGATACATAGTTTGTAAATATTTTTTTCTCATTCTATATGTTGTCTGTTCACTCTATTGATAATTTCTTTTGCTGAGTGGAAGCTTTTAAGTTTAATTAGATCCCACTTGTCAATAGCTGCATTTGTTGTTTTTGGTGTCTTTATCATGAAATCTTTGCCTGTTTCTACGTCCAGGATGGTATTGCCTAGGTTGCCTTCCAGGGCTTTTATAGTTTTGGGTTTTACATTTAAGTATTTAACCCATCTTGGGTTGATTTCTGCATATGGTATAAGGAAGAAGTCCAACTTCAATCTTCTGCATATGGCTAGCCAGTTATTCCAGCATCATTTATTGAATAGGGAATCTTTTCCCCATTGCTTGTTTTTGCCAGCTTTGTCAAAGATTAGATACTTGTAGGTATGTGGTCTTATTTCTAACTTCTCTATTCTGTTCCATTGGTGTATATGTCTGTTTTTGTACTAGTACCATGCTGCTTTGGTTACTATAGTGCTATAGTATAGTTTGAAGTCGGGTAATGTGATGCCTCAAGCTTTGTTCTTTTTGCTTCGGATTGCCTTAGCTACTTAGATTCTTTCTTGGTTCTATGTGAATTTCTAAATAGCTTTTTTCTACTTCCATGAATCATGTCATCGGTAGTTTAATAGGAATAGCTTTAGGCAGTACACCATTTAAATTATATTAATTCTTTCTCTCCATTAACATGGAATGATTTTTCATTTGTTTATGTCTTCTCTGACTTCTTTGAGCAGTGTTTTGTAATTTTCGTTGTAGAGATTTTTCAACTCCCTGGTTAGCTGTATTCGTACATGTTTTATTCTTTTTGTGGAAATTGTGAATAAAATTGCCTCTCTGATTTGGCTCTTAGTTTGACTCTTCTTGGTGTATAGGAATGCTAGCAAATTTTGTACATTGATTTTGTGTCCTGAAACTTTGTGGAAGTTGTTTATCAGCTTAAAGAGCTTTTGGGTCACAACTATAGGATTTAGATAGAGAATTATGTTGTCTGCAAACAGAGATAGTTGGACTTCCCTTTCTATTTAAATATGCTTCATTTCTTTCTCTTGTCTGATTGTTCCAGAAAGGACTTCTAATACTATGTTGAATAGGAGTAGTGAGAGAGGGCATCCTTGTCTTGTGTGGGTTTCAAGGAGAATGCATCCAGATTTTGCCCATTTAGTATAATGTTGGCTGTGAGTTTGTCATAGGTGGCCTTTATTATTTTGAGGTATGTTCTTTCGATACTTCATTTATTGAGAATTTTTAACATGAAGCTTTGTTGAATTTTACTGAAAGCCTTTTCTGCATCTGTTGAGACAATCACGTGGTTCTTATCTTTAGTTTTATTTATGTTACGTATCACATTTTATTGATTTGCCCATGATGGACCAAACTTTCATTCCAGGGAAGAAGCTTAGTTCACTATGGTGAATTAGCCTTTTGATGTGTTGCTAAATTCAGTTTGCAAGTATTTTGTTGTAGCTTATTGAATGGATGTGCATCAAGGATACTGGCCTGAAGTTTTCTTTTTTTGTTGTGTCACTTCCAGGCTTTGGTATCAGGATGATTCTGGTCTTGTAGAACAAGTTGGGGAAGAGTCCCTCCTCCTGTATTTCTTGAAATAGTTTTAGTAGGACAAGTACTGGCTCTTCTTTGTACCTCTGTTAAAATTTGTTAATCTATCAGGTCCTGGGCTTTTGGGGGGGGTTGGTAGGCTATTTATTATGGATTCAATTTTTGGAGCTCATAATTGGTCTGTTCAGAGACTAAATTTCTTCCTGGTTCAGTCTTGAGAGAGTGTACGTGTCCAAGAATTTATTCATCTCTTCTGGGGTTTCTACTTTGTGTGTGTAGAGGTGTTCATAGTAGTTGCTGGTTGTTATTTTTATTTCTCTGGGGTCAGTGGTAACATTCCCTTCATCATTTCTAATTTTGTTTATTTGAATCTTTTCTCTTTTCTTCTTTATTAGTCTAGCTAGTGCCCTATCTATCTTATTATTTTTTTCATAAAATCTTGATTAAGTGATCTTTTGAACAGTTTTTCTTGTCTCAATTTCTTTCAGTTCAGCTCTGATTGCAGTTATTTCTTGTCTTCTATAAGCTTTGTGGTTGAGTTCTTCTTGCTTCTCTAATTCTTTCAGTTGTGATGTTAGGTTGTTAATTTGAGATCTTTCTAACTTTTTGATATGGGCATTACTTCTTATGCCCTACTCTAACTTTTCTCCTTCTCCTAGAATACTCAGAACTATGCTTTCTAAACCAATAGAAACTTTCTCACTGAATCAACCTAGTCCCCTTGAGGCAAAGTTAGCAATTTTCCATTACACATGGTTCTCTTTCTCTGTAAGAATATCTAATGCAACAATGCAAGTGTTTCTTTCCCTCCTGGTAATGCGGGGAACTCCTTTTGGCTGAGACCAAGACTTAAAACCTTGTTCTCTCAACGTTAATGAAGATCTATTTAGAAAGCCTCCATTTTTACAGAAAAGATATATAAACACCAATGAAAATAAATATAAAATTATATGACATACAATTATAGTGTGGAAAGACTTAATAAATAAGTGAACTAAGCTCTAAGAAAAAAAGATGATGATATAAAATGATATAGAAGTAAAACCCTTGGCTGATATAGCATAATTAATGTATCAGTAAAGTATGTACATTGTAGAAGTGGCAGGAAGACAGCATAGAGAGTGAGACCTGACCAGAAGCTTTAAGTAAAGTTCTATACCCTTAAACGAGATTAAAGTGGACTCAGGAAAACATGGTCCACATGAGGAGAAGGACACATGTTCCAGACGAGCCAAATGTCAGAGCATCTCTACCTTCTCCAGGAGGAAAGGGGAGGCAAAGCAGCAGGCAGAAGACAGCATGGCCAGGTCGGCATAGGGCATGGAGGCCAAACCAGGTTGGCTCCATCGTACAGGTAGTGAGGAGCCACTGCCAGGTGGGCTTTATTCATTAGTTTGTTTTGTTTTCTTTAGTAACTAAGACACATAATCAAAGTTGACTTTTGTAAGTATTGCTGCAGCTGAACATAATAAGATGGATAAAACCAGTGTTTTAAAAATTATGTTGTATAGAGCACTAGCCCCAGAGAGATATTAGTGGAACACACAGGTGCACACACACACACACACACACGCACACACACTCACACTGAGCCCAGATTATTCTGGCAAATGCTGGGTTAAGCAAACAAAAAGAAACATGTTTAGTGCTGGACTTCTCAGAACCTGGAATGTGGCTATATGACTCATAAAATAACAAGGTTAAGACAGAGAATGTCATTTTTTTTCCCAGAAATGTTGAAACACTTTCTTTCCCTTGGCTTCAGTGTCACCTTCTTTCTTTTTTTTTTTTTTAATGATTTCTTTTTATTATACTTTTAAGTTTTAGGGTACATGTGCACATTGTGCAGGTTAGTTACATATGTATACATGTGCCATGCTGGTGTGCTGCATCCACTAACTCGTCATCTAGCATTAGGTATATCTCCTGATGCTATCCCTCCCCCCTCCCCTCATCCCACAACAGTCCCCAGAGTGTGATATTCCCCTTCCTGTGTCACCTTCTTTCTCGTGGTTCTCCATCCACCTCTTTGGCTGCTCCTTCTTGATTTCCTTTTTGACAATCTGTTGCTGCTCAGCCATTCTCTTTTCATTCCACATGGATTTCTCAAGTGTGTTTCTATTCCTGCTGATTAAATTTTCCTCGCTTTTCCTGACAACTCTCCTTGTCTGACCCTCCCCACTTCTAAGGCAGGTGTTCCATCTGTGTGCACTTTTGGCATCCTGGGATGCTTCCAGCATGTTCCCTGCCACACTCCATCAGGTATTCTCCACAGACTCTGCGAGGGCAGCAGCCTTGTCTCCACCATCCCTTCAATGCTCAGCATGTAACACAGAAGCTGACTCCATAACATTTAGTTGGCCAACTGAGACTAAATATGTGTTCCTCTAGATCTTAAAAAGTTACAGAAACATAGCACAATGGACAAAAAAATTCTCTTTAGTCAGGAGTTCTCCATATATGTACAAGAGTTTGAAGTCATTATTAAACAACGTGAAACAGAAACTGTCACAGAATTCCCTAAATTATTTTGCTTTAATCTTCAATTCATCATGTGAGATAATCAAGACCATGTGTTATTGTAAATATTTCTAGCTTACGACACAATAACCTGATTTTTATTGTTTGAAATAACCATAATATAAATCAGTTAATTAAAAATGGCATAAATAATCCTTTCAAATAAAATTCTGCCAAATTTTACATTACTCATATGTTCAAATGATAATGAGCTCATAGGCTTTTCCAATACCTCAGTCAAAACATTGTACTGATTCCAGCTGTGGGAATAGTATCGGAAAGTTATTTTACAGATGGGGAAAAGGTACCTATGTGACATTGCCCTTGCACTACTGTGCCCTTTTGGGTCAGGAAAAAGCTGTTCCCTTAAAATCCTAAAATCTCTTCTGTCAGGTCTAAAGGGTGAATGGGAAACATAGTTTTTAAAATTTTAGCCACAGATATTTTATTCCTTGCTTAAAGCAGTGACTAGATAAAAGCCACTAGAAGAGTCTCCAATGTTTCTTTAGAAGTGTGTGCCTGAGAACATCTTCCTGAAACACTCCCTTGTCTCTGCCCAAAATCACCTTAGGTAGGAAAGTTAAAACTCAGCAGGCTGAGGAGATCCAAGGGGATCACTGAGCTCTGAGGCTTATGAGAGAAGAGAGAGAGGTCTAAGACTTTTTGTGTATAAATTTATGGGTTCCAAGTGCAATTTTGCTGTAAGCATGGATGGCATAGTGGTGAAGTCAGGGCTTTTAGGTATCCATCACTGGAATAATGCACATTGTACCCATTAAGTAATTTCTCACTGTTCACCCCTTCCATCCCCTCACCCTGCTGAGTCTCCATTATCATTCCACTCTCTACATCAATACCCTCACATCTTTTAGCACCCGCTTATGAGTGATAAAATACGATGTTTACTCTGTGTCTGGCTTGCTTCACTTACAACAATGGCCTCCAGTTCCATCCATGTGTCTGCAAAAATTATGATTCTATTGTTTTTTACTCCTGAATAGTATTTCATTGTGTATATTTTCTATATTTTCTTTTTCCAATCATTTGTTGATGGACATTTAGGTTGATTTTATATCTGTGCTACTGTGAATAGTGTTGCAACAAATATAAAAGTACAGTTATATTTCTGATACATTGATTTTTTTCCTTTGCATAAATACTCAGCCGTGGGATTGCTGAATCAGACAGAGCCAATAGATGATCAGTAATGATGGCCAATCATCAGCTAGAAACAAAGTACTTAGCAGGGCTTGAAAACACCAAAACTCTAAGACAACTGACCTTCAAAAACTTCAACAGCCCTGAATGAAAAGTCCAAACACATTCATCTACCATTCAAAGACCCTTTATTGTCTGTCCTCTGCACATCTCAGTAGTCTCTTTTTACCACACTGTCTATATACTGCATGAGCCATTTATATGAAACTATCTGACACTCCAAGGCATCTTATGCTATATATTCAATCATGTATCCCTAGTAATTATCACAGTCCTGGCATATAGTTTGCTACTAAACGTTTCCAGAATGAAGGAATTATCTTGTATCCAGGTTCCAAGTTTTAAGGTGATTCTTAACTAAAAAAAAAGTATTATAGCTCACAAATAATCTAATTCCTTTTTTACAAGTGGGATTGATTTTAATCTTATCCCCTAATAACATCACTTTCATTTACTCCCATCTAAATATACTGTCCTAAGAGAGCAATAAGAAAGAGAGTTGAAGCTGGAGTTTGAATAATTGAACATGGTCCTGTGATACCCTACCTTGTCTAAACCTGAGTGACTCTCTCCTAGTGGAGAGAGAGCCGGACAGACTCCATTTTAGTTTCTTCATGTGCAGCCCCCTTTACCTCCCTTCCTTAAGGGCATAACTAGTGTAAACTGACTCAAAGCACGTCCAGGAATGCACTTACTATTAAGATATTGAGGCAAGCTGCACCAGCAGCTCCTGGGGACGTGCTCAGTGAATGGCACCCAAAACCCCTGTATTTCTCTCTTTATGATAGTTTAAGCCCCTGCACCTGGAATGGTTTATTTATTTTTTTTTGTAACTGCTTTTGTAACCAATTAATTTTTTTAACTGTTTGCTAGCTCTAGCTCTGCTTCTGTAAAAATTGCTTCAGCTAAACTCCCCCCTCCCCTATTTAGACCACGGTATAAAAACAAAACCAGCCCCTTCCTCGGGGCCAAGAGAATTTTGAGCGTTAGCTGCCTCTCGGTTGCTCGCTAATAAAGGACTCCTTAATTTGTCTCAAAGGTTGGCTTTCCTCTATAACTCGCTTGGTTACAACAGTCCACACTGTGGCCTGAGGTGCGTCGTCCACCTGAGCTTCATCTGTTAGGTATGTCAGGGAAGATAAGCAGGGCGAGTGTGGCCTCATCAGAGGACCCCAGATCTCTGGCTTCCCCATCTGGCAAGTGCACATCTGTGAACAAAGACTTCAGAGCCAGATGACAAGAACGGCCCAAGCAGTCCACCAGGAAAACCTGGGCCCAGTGTACATCAATGCAGAGCATCAAGCACGGTGTAACAGGTGCACAGTTGCCTATTCCTGTTCAGAGATGACTGCATCTCACACACTGTAAAATGAGGAAATGCAGAGAAGCAGATGTAACTGAAGAAGACAGCAGGAGCAACAAGGAGGGACAACCACGACCTAGGAAGGCAAGATGCCAGAGACGCCTGGACCCTACGCTAGGCTCAGTGCTTGTTATACTCTTGGGACCCAGTGCTTTCCCTCTCCATCATGTGGCATACTTGGCATTATTTCTTGTTTAAAATATTGTCCTTAGTTTTCACCTTTCCTAGGAGACACAGGCAAAACCTGTGACACTACAGTGTCTGGCACACAGTAGGTGCATCACAAACATCTGCTGAGTTCACACACTCTTGCCTTCTCAAACCTTCTTGTCAAGTCTTCACTGAAAAGGAATTGCTGATTGAGCAAGAATTAAACTTCTAGAGACTCCTGGATCCACTGAAGTTTGAGACAAGGTGTGATTTGTTTACTGCCATATTCCTAGCTCATAGCATATTGTAGTCAATTAAAAAATGTTTGTTGAATCAGTGAGTGAATTGATTCATACGTCATACTTAGCTATATATTTTCCGAGTAAAATTGATAAATTTAATAATTTACTTCTAGTATAATTTTGCTTTACTTATTCAACGAACCTGACAATTCAACTAGGTGCCAGGCACACCGCTGCTGA
The DNA here is from genome assembly GCF_000001405.40 of Homo sapiens. Lineage (NCBI taxonomy): Eukaryota > Metazoa > Chordata > Mammalia > Primates > Hominidae > Homo > Homo sapiens. The sequence goes on along the minus strand of NT_187420.1, from coordinate 312,786 downwards.
ACAAAAAGAGGTATAAGATACAACTTCTGTCTACAAGAAAGCCACGGTCTAAAGAGTAGAAACATATGAACAAATCATAACAATAAACAGGCTGAATTCAAAATCAGAGGGGTTTGTTTCTATTTTAAACAGCTCTAGTCAGGAAGTGTTAGAAAGTTCTAAACAGGAAATGTTCCAACACACCATCCAAGCATGAAGCAGAAGACACCCATAATTGAGTTTGCTGCCACCAACCCCAACAGCAAGAATTCCAGTCCTGCTGCTGCAAAGTAAGTGTCACTCTGATTTTATTACTGCTGTGTAACGCAGTTTTAGACCCTTTGTTTGTCACTTAATGTTCTAAAAAAGTATTAAAGAGAAAATATTATTATGGTGATGAGCCCATCCACTGCAGCCATCTCAACATCATATCAATTATAAGGCCTATCATTTAAAAAGAAAACTGTTAGTTTAATTTATTTATCCAAATATCAGTATTAGATAAACATGTTTGTCATCAGACTTTGGATTTATGGGTTAAATGGCATAAAAATATGATTAGAGCCTTAAAGTTTACACTTCTCTGGTTTGCTCAAATTTTTTGCAAAATAGCATATGCCTTTCTAAAAAATTGTTAGTATTTTTTTAAAATGAACATTAAAATATATATATTTCCAAAAACAAAATACAGCTCCCATTGGCAAATGGTGATGTTGAGATACAACAGACAACTTCTCTTGGGAACCATTTAGTCAGTGATCACTTTTGCACTCTTTCCAGAAATGTCAATGCCTTTAAAATGTAGAAGTATATTATACAACTAAATTTACACTTATTCAGTATTGTGCAACATTTAGTACTTGTTCTAGCTATCTCTTGCTGAATAGTAAGCCATTCCAAAACTTAAGGAATTATTTATAGTTTAATATTGTTTATTGTTATTGTTTAGTGATTATAAATAATGTTATTTCTCATGGTTTTGTGGGTTGATGGGCACTACAAAAGTTCTCTTTTGGAGTCTTTCTTGCATTTGCGGTTGGTTGGCTGCTGCTGAACTCACCTGAAAGCTCAACTAGACTAAAGAGCCTAGACGGGTCACTTACATGGCTGGCAGTTCATATTGGCTGCTGGGTGTGATGCCTATCTGACCTCTCCATGTTATCTGGAGTGCTCACAACTTGGTAGTTGCTCCCAAAGCACACAGGCAAATACCACAAAGCTTCTTAGGACCTAGCCTTGGAGGTTCTAGAATACAACTTCTGCTCCATCCTATTGGTAAAGCAAGTCATTGTGATCAGCACAGATTCAAGAAATGGGAGATTCGACTCTAACTGTCAATGTAAAGAGCAGCATGTGCATGCAGGGAGGAAAGAAATTGAGGGCATCATCTCGAAGACTATCATATCACACCATCATTCCAACTAATGAACATTATGTTTTAGATGGGTAGTACTAACTACTCATCTCTCCCCCAGAAACCCAACTAAGCATGGACATATTGAGGAGAATGTCAGCACCATTAAAAAAAAAACTCTAGAAAAATCACATGCGATGACTGAGGTTAATTCAGTCTGTCAATTACGTCAATATAATTCCCTTCTTGTAACCCTAAATATGGTGAAGCAGAATTGAATTCTACAAAAGTCTTTCATCTGTTTTCCTGTGGAATAATTAACAAACCCAATGAATGTATAAATAACATGAAGTCCGATTTATTTTAGATTTTTACCTCTTAATTTCAAAGCTTATAGAAATCCATAGAACTAATCATCATAATCCACAATGCCTGGACCAGAAGTCCTTGTTCTAAGAGTATCTTGTGGCATGCTAAAAACTTACTACTAACTAGGAAATTTAAAACTTTTTGTTAGTGATTTTAAGAGAGCTGACTAGCTCATCACCACAATTCACACAGAGTAAGAATGGAGATTACTCTGCTGAGCGGATTGATAGTGATCAGAAAAAAATCACAAAAGAGGAAAGGAGATAGAGAAGAGGAAACATGCTGTCAATCCCTACAACTAAAGTGATTTTTCGAATGATTTGATTTTGTATTTGCAAAGGAAAGACAGCTTATTGTGATAGAATAAGAATCCCACTTCTATATCTTTTTTTTTTTTTTTTTTTGAGACGGAGTCTCGCTCTGTCGCACAGCCTGGAGTGCAGTGGTGCGATCTTGGCTCACTGCAAGCTCTGCCTCCCGGGTTTACGCCATTCTCCTGCCTCAGCCTCCTGAGTAGCTGGGACTACAGGGGCCCGCCACCACGCCCGGCTAACTTTTTGCATTTTTAGTAGAGACAGGGTTTCACCGTGTTAGCCAGGATGGTCTCGATCTGACCTTGTGATCCGCTCACCCCAGCCTCCCAAAGTGCTGGGATTACAGGTCTGAGCCACTGTGCCCGGCTCATCTTCTTTTAAGAAGTGTCTACTTATGTCCCTTGTCAATGTTTTAATGGAGTTGTTTTCTTAATGTTCAACTTCACTAATCATCAGATAAATGCAAATCAATGTGAGATACCATCTCATATTAGTCAGAATGGCTACTATTAAAAAGTAAAAAAATAACAAATTCTTGTTAGACTTCAGAGAAAATGAAATGCTTATACACTGTTGTTGAGAATGTAAATTAGTTCAGCCACTGTGAAAAGCAGTTTGGAGGTTTTTCAAAGAATTTAAAACAGAAGTACCATTCAACCAGCAATTCCATTACTGAGTATATGTCCAAAATAAAATTAAAAATTCTACAAAAAGAAACCCAAATGCACTTGTATATGCGTCATGTTGCTATTCACAATAGGGAAGGCATGGAATTAACTTATGTGTTAATCAATAAATTGGATAGAAATATGTGCCACATATACACCATAAAATACTATGCACACATTAAAAAGAATACAATCATGTCCTGTGCAGCAACATGCATACGTCTGGAGGCCATTATCCTAGGGAAATTAATACAGGAACAGAAAACCAAATACCACATGTTCTTGCCTATAAGTAGGATCTAAACATGGGGTACTCATGAATATAAAGATGACAACAATAGACACTGAGAACTACTAGATGAAGGAGGAAAGGAGGAGGGCAGGGGGTGAGAAACTATGAGTGCTATGCTTACTGCCTAGGTGATGGGATCAAATATATCCCACAATATATGCTCACTACCTTGGTGATGGGATCAATAATATCCCACATTGCTCAGCATCACACAATATATCCAGGTAATAAACCTGCAAATATACTCCCTGAATCTAAAAAATTTAAGGCAGAGACAGAATAAGAGGGCAGAAGAGAAGCCTACATTCTCATCCACCACACAAAAACACCAAATTTTCACAACTCACTACATTCAAGAAGCACTGTCAAAGGGACCAAAAATTGGGTGAGCAATCACAGTACCTGGTATTAACTTCATATCACTGAAACAGACATTGGAGAAGACAAACAAATAAAAGACGGTCTAGAAGCAAGGATGCCACCTCTTTTTCAACCACCAGTAGTGGCTACGTCGTGCAGAGATAGTATGTTTGGGAGAGGGAGAACATAGTTTGTGAGGCTTTGCAATAAACTCAGTACTACCCTGTCACAGTGAAAAGCAGAACCAGACTGTACTCAGCTGACATCTCCCAATGGGGGGAGCACTTGTATTGGCCTTACAAAGAGGAAAACCTCCCATCCCAGTATTGGGAGCTTCAGTTTTTGCAAGTCTTGCCATCATGAGTTGACGTGCTATTGGACTCTAAGAGAACTTAAGGGGAAGTCTAAGCCACAAGGACTTCAATTATTAGGCAAGTCATATTCTGAGCTGGGCTCAGAGCCAGTGGAATGTGGAGGGTGGGGAGAATGGAGTCTACTGAGACAGCAGCCAGAGAAGCTAAGGGAGTGCTCACAACACCACTCCCCCACTCCCACCTAGCAGCAGCCACACAACACAGAGAAACCTGTGAATTTGGGAGAGGGAGAGCACAGTGACTGGAGGACTTTGCATTAAACTCAGTGCTGCCATGTCAGTAAAGATCTGGCAGAATTCATCACCTGCTGACTAAAGAACCCCTGTACCCAGAATAAAAAACAGTGACAACCAGGTAATACAACATGGGCATTGGGCTCTGAGAAGCGCCAACTTCAGGTGTGACCCAGTACATTTCCAGCTGTGGGAGCTATGGTGAAAGACTTCTGTTTGAGAAAAGCAGGGGGGAAAGTAAAGGGACCTCTGTTTTGCACCTGATAGGCCAGCTCAGCACAGTGGGGTAGAGCACCAAGCGGATTCTTAGAGTCCCTGAGTCCAGGCCTAAGGTCTTCTTGGTCAGCATTTCTGCGCTTGCCCTGGACCAAAGGTCGAGTCCCAGACATTGCAGAATTTATCACAAGCTAATTAAAGAGTGCTTGGGCTTTAAGTGAGAAAGTGATGATGATTTGGTGGAAACCCCCTATGGGCCAGTAGTGTTGGCAGTCATAGAAGAGGCTCTTCTGCCTGCAGACAGGGCAAGGAAGAGTAGAAAATACTTTGTCTTATTCCCTAAGTGCCAGGTTAGCTACAGTAAAATAGAAGAGCAGGTAAATTTTGAAGATTCTATGCTTTAATCTCTGGCTCCCAGGTAGCATCTGTGGACCCACTCATGGCTAGGGGAACTTACCACCCTATAGGCAGAGACACAAACCTGGCTGGCTTTGCCACATAATAATCACAGAGTCCTAGGGCTTTGAATAAACATATGGTAGCCAAGTAGTGTTGCAGTGGGTCTTGCGTGAGACCAAGTTCTGTGCCTACTTCAGGTGTGAACCAGCACAGTCTCAGTGGTGGTGGCCACAGGAGTGCTTATGTTACCCCAACCCCAGCTTCACATGTCTCAGCACAGAAAGAGAGACTGCTGATTTGAGAGAATGTAAGGGAAGAGAACAAGAGTCTTTACTTGATAAATCAAGAGAATTTTTCTTGATGTTAATTCAAGGCCACCAAGGCAGTACCTCTATGTGTTTGCATAAACTACTGTGCTATTGGGTTTGGGACCCAAGTTTCTTTGAATACCTGGAAAGTGTTCCCAAAGATAATGGGCACTAACAAGCCCAGACTGTGAAGACTACAGTAAAGACTGAACTCTTCAATGCCCAGATACAGATGAACATCTACATGTATCAAGGCCATCCAGGAAAACACGACCTCACCAAACAAGCCAAGTAAAGCACCAGGGACAAATCCTGGAAAAACAGAGATATGTGACCTTTCATACAGGAAATCCAAAATAGCTGGTTGTGGTAATTCAAAGAAATGTACAATATAACACAGAGAAGGAATTCAAAATTCTATCAGATAAATTTAACAAAGAGATTGAAATAAAAGAATATAGCAGAAATTCTGAAGTTAAAATGCTATTGTCGTACTGAAGAATGGATCAGAATTACTTAAAAGAATTGACCAAGAAGAAGATAGATTTAGCGAACTTGAAGTCAGACTGTTTAAAAATACAAAGTCAGAGGAGACAAAAAAGAACAAAAAATAAAGCATGCCTATAGAATTTAAAAAATAGCCTCAAAATAGCAAATCTAAGAGTTATTGGCCTTAAAGAGGAGGTAGAAAAAGAGATGAGTTGAACATTTATTTAAATAAATAATATTAAATCATATTAAACAATTCCTCAACATTTGATATCAATATTCGAGTAACAAAAAGTTACAGAACATAAAGCAGATTTAACCCAAAGAAGACCACCTCAAGGCGCTTAACTGAACTCCCAAAAGTTAAGGATAAAGAAGTGATTCTAAAAGCATCGAGAGAAGAGAAACAAATAACTTTCAGTGGAACTCCAATACATCTGACAGCAGACTTTTCAGGGGAAAATTTACAGGCTGGGAGACTGGCATGACATATTAAAAAAGCTGAAGAAAAAAAAGACTTTTACTTTAGAATAATGTCTCAGGCAAAAACGGCCTTTAAACTTGATGGAAAAATAAGAACTTTTTCCGACAAACAAAAACTGAGGGATTTCATTAACACCAGACCTGTCCTACAAGAAATGCTAAAGGGATATCTTAACCTAAAAGAAAAAAAGTTAGCGAGCAAGAAGAAATCATCTGAAGGTACAGAACTCACTAGCAATAGCACATGGAAAAACATTGAATATCATAATATGGTAAGTATGGGGTGCAAAAATCTCAAATAGAAAGAGTAAACACATGAACTTTAAAGTAGTTTTTTCAAATTCTGTGAAGAAAGGCATTGGTAGCTTGAGGGGGATGGCATTGAATGTATAAATTACCTTGGGCAGTAGGGCCATTTTCAAGATATTGATTCTTCCTACCCATGAGCATGGAATGTTCTTCCATTTGTTCGTATCCTCTTTTATTTCCTTGAGCAGTGGTTTGTAGCTCTCCCTGAAGAGGTCCTTCACATCCCTTGTTAGTTGGATTCCTAGGTATTTTATTCTCTCTGAAGCAATTGTGAATGGGAGTTCACTCATGATTTGGCTGCCTGTCTGTTATTGGTGTATAAGAATGCTTGTGATTTTTGTACATGGATTTTGTATCCTGAGACTTGGCTGAAGCTGCTTAACAGCTTAAGGAGATTTTGGGCTGAGACAATGGGGTTTTCTAGATATACAATCATGTCATCTGCAAACAGGGACAATTTGACTTCCTCTTTTCCTAATTGAATACCTTCTATTTCCAACTCCTGCTTGATTTCCCTGGCCAGAACTTCCAACACTATGTTGAATAGGAGTGGTGAGAGAGGGCATCCCTGTCTTCTGTTAGTTTTCAAAGAGAATGCTTCCAGTTTTTGCCCACTCAGTATGACATCGGTTGTGGGTTTGTCATAGATAGCTCTTATTATTTTGAGATACGTCCTATCAATACCTAATTTATTCAGAGTTTTTACCATGAATGTTGTTGAATTTTGGCAAAGGCCTTTTCTGCATCTATTGAGATAATCATGTGGTTTTTGTCTTTGGTTCTGTTTATATGCTGGATTACATTTATCGATTTGCGTATGTTTAACCAGCCTTGAATCCCAGGGATGAAGCCCACTTGATTATGGTGGATAAGCTTTTTGATGTGCTGCTGGATTTGGTTTGCCAGTATTTTATTGAGGATTTTTGCATCAATGTTCATAAAGGATATTGGTCTAAAATTCTCTTTTTTTGTTGTGTCTCTACCCAGCTTTGGTATCAGGATGATGCTGGCCTCATGAAGTGAGTTAGGGAGGATTCCCTCTTTTTCTATTGATTGGAATAGTTTCAGAAGGAATGGTACTAGCTCCTCCTTGTACCTCTGGTAGAATTCGGCTGTGAATCCATCTGCTCCTAGGCTTTTTTGATTGGGAAGCTATTGATTATTGCCTCAATTTTAGAGCCTGTTATTGATCTATTCAGAGATTCAACTTCTTCCTGGTTTAGTTTTGGGAGGGTGCATGTGTCGAGGAATTTATCCATTTCTTCTAGATTTTCTAGTTTATTTGCATAGAGGTGTTTATTGTATTCACTGATGGTAGCTTGTATTTCTGTGGAATCAGTGGTGATATCTCCTTTATCATTTTTTATTGCATCTATTTGATTCTTCTCTCTTTTCTTCTTTATTAGTCTTGCTAGCGGTCTATCAATTTTGTTGATCTTTTCAAAAAACAAGATCCTGGATTCATTGACTTTTTGAAGGGTTTTTTGTGTCTCTATTTCCTTCAGTTCTGCTCTGATTTTAGTTATTTCTTGCCTTCTGCTAGCTTTTGAATGTGTTTGCTCTTGCTTCTCTAGTTCTTTTAATTGTGATGTTATGGTGTCCATATTAGATCTTTCCTGCTTTCTCTTGTGGGCATTTAGTGCTATAAATTTCCCTCTACACACTGCTTTGAATGTGTCCCAGAGATTCTGGTATGTTGTGTCTTTGTTCTCGTTGGTATCAAAGAACATCTTTATTTCTGCTTTCATTTCGTTATATACCCAGTAGTCATTCAGGAGCAGGTTGTTCAGTTTCCATGTAGTTGAGTGGTTTTGAGTGAGTTTCTTAATCCTGAGTTCTAGTTTGATTGCATTGTGGTCTGAGAGACAGTTTGTTATAACTTCTGTTCTTTTACATTTGCTGAGGAGAGCTTTACTTCCAACTATGTGGTCAATTTTGGAATAGGTGTGGTGTGGTGCTGAAAAGAATGTGTATTCTGTTGACTTGGGGTGGAGAGTTCTGTAGATGTCTATTAGGTCCACCTGGTGCAGAGCTGAGTTCAATTCCTGCATATCCTTGTTAACTTTCTGTCTCATTGATCTGTCTAATATTAACAGTGGGGTGTTAAAGTCTCCCATTATTATTGTGTGGGAGTCTAAGTCTCTTTGTAGGTCTCTAAGGACTTGCTTTATGAATCTGGGTGCCCCTGTATTGGGTGCATATATATTTAGGATAATTAGCTCTTCTTGTTGAATTGATCCCTTTACCATTATGTCATGGCCTTCTTTGTCTCTTTTGATCTTTGCTGGTTTAATGTCTGTTTTATCAGAGACTAGGATTGAAACCCCTGCCTTTTTTTGTTTTCTATTGGCTTGGTAGATCTTCCTCCATCCCTTAATTTTGAGCCTGTGTGTATCTCTGCACATGAGATAGGTTTCCTGAATACAGAACACTGATTGGTCTTGACTTTTTATCCAATTTGCCAGTCTGTGTCTTTTAATTGGAGCATTGAACCCATTTACATTTAAGGTTAATATTGCTATGTGTGAATTTGATCCTGTCATTATGATGTTAGCTAGTTATTTTGCTCGTTAGTTGATGCAGTTACTTCCTAGCATCGATGGTCTCTACAATTTGGCGTTTTTGCAGTGACTGGTACCAGTTGTTCCTTTCCACGTTTAGTGTTTCCTTCAGGAGCTCTTTTAGGGCAGGTCTGGTGGTGACAAAATCTCTCAGAATTTGCTTGTCTGTAAAGGATTTTATTTCTCCTTGACTTATGAAGCTTAGTTTGGCTGGATATGAAATTTTGGGTTGAAAATTCTTTTCTTTAAGAATGATGAATATTGGCCCCCACTCACTTCTGGCTTGTAGAGTTTCTGCAGAGAGATTAGCTGTTAGTCTGATGAGCTTCCCTTTGTGGGTAACCTGACCTTTGTCTCTGGCTGCCCTTAACATTTTTTCCTCATTTCAACTTTGGTGAATCTGACAATTATGTGTCCTGGAGTTGCTCTTCTCAAGGAGTATCTTTGTGGCATTCTCTGTATTTCCTGAATGTGAATGTTGGCCTGCCTTGCTAGATTGGGGAAGTTCTCCTGGATAATATCCTGCTGATTGTTTTCCAACATGGTTCCATCCTCCCCGTCACTTTCAGGTACACCAATCAGATGTAGATTTGGTCTTTTCACATAGTCCCATATTTCTTGGAGGCTTTGTTCATTTCTTTTTATTCCTTTTTCTGTTAACTTCTCTTCTCGCTTCATTTCATTCTTTTCATCTTCCATCACTGATACCCTTTCTTCCAGTTGATCGAATTAGCTACTGAGGCTTCGGCATTCATCACTTAGTTTTCATGCCATGGTTTTCAGCTCCATCAGGTCCTTTAAGGACTTCTCTGCATTGGTTATTCTACTTAGCCATTCATCTAACTTTTTTTCAAGGTTTTTAACTCCTTTGCCATGGGTTCAAACTTTCTCCTTTAGCTTGGAGTAGTTTAATCATCTGAAGCCTTCTTCTCTCATCTCCTCAAAGTCATTCTCCTTCCAGCTTTGTTCCGTTGCTGGTGAGGAGCTGCGTTCCTTTGGAGGAGGAGAGGAGCTCTGATTTTTAGAGTTTCCAGTTTTTCTGCTCTGTTTTTTCCCCATATTTGTGGTTTTATCTACCTTTGGTCTTTGATGATGGTGACGTACAGATGGGTTTTTGGTGTGGATGTCCTTTCTGTTTGTTATTTTTCCTTCTTACAGTCAGAACCCTCAGCTGCAGGTCTGTTGGAGTTTGCTGGAGGTCCACTCCTGACCCTGTTTTCCTGGGTATCAGCAGCGGTGGCTGCAGAACAATGGATATTGGTGAACTGCAAATGCTGCTGCTTGATCGTTCCTCTGGAAGTTTTGTCTCAAAGGATTACCCGGCCATGTTAGGTGTCAGTCCGCCCCTACTGTGGGTGCCTCCCAGTTAGGCTACTAGGGGTTCAGAGACCCAGTTGAGGAGGCAGTCTGCCCATTCTCAGATCTCCAGTTGCATGCTGGGAGAATCACTACTCTCTTCAAAGCTGTCAGACAGGGACATTTAAGTCTGCAGAGGTTTCTACTGCCTTTTGTTTGGCTATGTCCTACCCCCAGAAGTGGAGTCTACAGAGTCAGACAGGCCTCCTTGAGCTGAAGTGGGCTCCACCCAGTTCAAGCTTCCTGGCTGCTTTACCTACTCAAGCCTCGGCAATGGCAGGGGACCCTCCCCAAACCTCACTGCCACCTTGCAGTTTGATCTCAGACTGCTGTGCTAGCAATGAGTGAGACTCTGTGGGCATAGAACCCTCCAAGCCAGGCGTGAGATATAATCTCCTGGTGTGCCATTTGCTAAGACCATTGGAAAAGTGCAGTATTAGGGTGGGAGTGACCCGATTTTCTGGGTGCCATCTGTCACCCCTTTCTTTGACTAGCAGAGGGAATTCCCTGACCCCTTGTGCTTCCTGGATGAAGTGATGTCTCACCCTGCTTCTGCTCATGCTCGGTGCACTGCACCCACTGTGCTGCACCCTCTGTCTGACACTCCCCAGTGAGATGAACCCAGTACCTCATTTGGAAATGCAGAACTCACCCATCTTCAGTGTCGCTCATTCTGGGAGCTGTAGATTGGAGCCGTTGTTATTTGGCCATCTTGGCTCCAACCTCTGTTTTGCTTGTTTCTTTGTTTATGCAACCAGTGTTAAATTGTCCACAGTCTAAAATCATGTATTATATTATTTTCAAGCCTCATGATAATTTCAAATCAAAAGGTGTACCAAAGATGTACAAAAAGTAAAAAGCAAGAAATTAGATTATAATTCAAGAGAAATCACCTTCACTAAAAGGAAGACAGGAAGAAAGGAAAGAAGGAAGAGAGGGCAAAAATCAATCAGAAAAGAAATAAAAAATGGCAGGAGTAAGTGCTTATCACTGATAACATTGAATTTAAATGAACTAAATACTCCAGTCAAAAGAAAAATAGTGGATGAATGGATAGAGAAGCAGGACAATAATCTGTGACCTACAAAAAAACACACTTTACCTACAAAGATACATTTAGACTGAAAATAAAAGGATGGAAAAAGTTATCCCATGACAATAGAGACCAAAAAAAGCAGAAATAGCCATACTTACACCAGACAAAAATAGATTTCCACAAAAGACTGTAGGAAGAAATTAAAAGGTCGTTATATAATAATAAAGAGATCAATTCATCAAGAGGATATAATAATTGAAAATATATATGCACCCAACACTAAAGCACCTAGATAAATGAAGCAAATATTATGAGCTAAAGAAAGAGACCTCAATACAATAATGGCTGGACACTTCAACACCCCACTTTAGTCATTAGGTAGACCTTCAAGACAGAAAATAAACAAGGAAATATCAGACTTAATCTGTACTATAGAGCAAATGAACCTAATAGATATTTACAGAAAATTTCATCCAACAGCTGCAGAATACACATTCTTCTCCTCAGCACATGCATTATTTTCAAGGATAGACCATATGTTAAGGAACAAGTCTAAAAACATTCCAAAAAATTGAAGTAATATCAAGCATTTTCTCTGACTACAGGGGATAAAACTAGATATCAATTAAAAAAGGAATTTAAGAAACTATATAAACACATGGACATTAAGCAATATGCTCCTGAATGATTAGTAGGTTGATAAAAATGTTAAGAAGAAAATAGAAAAATTTCTTGAAACAAATGATAATGGAAACATAGCATAGAAAAACCTATGGAATATAGTGAAAGATATATTATTATAAAAGGAAAATTTATAACTGTAAGTGACTGCATAAAAAACAGAAAAGCTTCAAATAAATAACCTAACAATACATCTTAATTAACTAGAATAAAAGACCAAACCTAACCCAAAATTAGAAGAAAAGAAATAATAAAGATTAGAGCAGAAGTAGATAAAGTTAAAATGATGAAAATAATGTAAAGAATTAATGAAAGAAAATGTTGATTTTTTGAAAAGTAAAACAATTGACAAATATTTAAACAGGCTAACTAAAAAACAGAAAAGATACAAATTAGTAAAATCAGAGGTGAAAAAGGAGACATTACAAATAATGCTTCAGAAAAACAAAGGATCATTAGTAAAAAATATCAGCAATTGTATGCCAACAAATTAGAAAACCTAGAGGAAATTAATTCTTAGATACACAAAACTTACCAAGATTTAACTAGGAAAAAAATCTAAAACCTGAACAGATCAATAACTATTAACAAAATTAAAGCCTTAATAAGAAAAGTCTGTAGGACCAGACTGAAAACTAGAGAAGGAAAGAACATTTCCAAACTCATTCTTTGAGGCTAGTATTACCCTGATATCAAAACCAGACAAAGACACATTAAAAAAAGGGAACGACAGGCCCATATCTGAGAATATTGGTGGAAAAATTTGCAAAACACCTAACAAACTGAATTAAGCAATACATAAATATGTAATTAATAATGACCAAGTGGGATTTATCCCAGGGATGCAAGGATGGGTCAACATGCAAATCAATCGATGTGATAGATCACATAAAGAGAATGAAGGGGCCAGGCACAGTGGCTCACACCTGAAATCCCAGCAATTTAGGAAGCCGAGGTGGGCAAATCACCTGAGGTCAGGAGTTTAAAACCAGTCTGGCCAACATGGCGAAGCCCCGTCTCTACTAAAATTACAAAAATTAGCCAGGCGTGGTGGTGGGCACCTGTGATCCCAGCTACTCAGGAGGCTGAAGAAGAAGAATCACTTGAACCTGGGAGGCAGAGTTTGCATTGAGCTGAGATCATGCCATTGTCCTCCAGCCTGGGTGACAGAGGGAGACTTCATCTCAAAAAAACAAAACAAAACAAGGACAAAATCCATATAATCATTTCAATTTTGCTAAAAATAATTTGATAAAATTTAATAGTCTTTAATATTAAAAAAAACCATTTGAAAACTGGGTATGGAATGAACATACCTCAACATAATAAAAGTCACATTTGACAGACCCACAGCCAGTATCACACTAAGTGGGGAAAAACTAAAAGCCTTTCCTCTAAAATCTGGAAGATGACAAGAATGTCCACTTTTACCACTGTTATTCAACATAATGCTGAAAGTCTTATCTGGAGCAATCAGACAGGAGAAAGCAATAAAACGCATCCCAATTGGAAAAGAAGTCAAATTACCTTTTTTTTTTTGCCAATTATATAATCTTATATTGGAAAAAGCATAAAGACTCCTCTGATAGGGTTTGAATGTGTGTCCCCTCCCAAATTTCATATTTAAATGTAATTCTCAATGTTGGAAATGGGCCTGGTGAAAGGTGATTTAACCATTGGGGTGGATTACTCATAAATGGCTTAGCACCATCCCATTTGTTACTATTCTCATGATAGTGAGTGAGTTCCATAAGATCTGGTTATTTAAAACTGTGTAACAACTCGCCCCTCTGTTTTTTGCTCCTGCTTTTTGCCCTGTGATGTGCAAGATTCTGCTTCAACTTCTGCCATGACTGTAAACTTCCAGAGACCTCCCCAGAAGCATATTCCAGTGCTATGTCTTCTCTACAGCCTGTAGAATCATAAGCCACTTAAACCTACTTTGTAAAAAATAAATTATCCAGTCCCACTCTCATAGTGATGCAAAAATAGCTTAATACAGAAAATTGGCACCAAGGAATGGAAAATGGTTATAAGAATACCCCAAAATGTGGAATCAGCTTTGTAATTGGATAAACAGGCAGAAGTTGGAAGAGTCTGTAGGATTCAGAAGACAGAAAAATGAGGGAAAGTTGAGATTTTCTTAGAGACTGGTTGAATGCCTGTAACCAAAATGCTGATAGTGATCTGTACAGGGAAGCCTGGGCTGAGGAGATCTCAGATGAAAACTAGAAACTTATTGGGACTGAAACAAAGGTCATGCATGTTGTCTTAGCAAAGTTATTGGCTGAATTTCTGTCATGCCCTACGGATATATAAAAGTTTGAATTTGAAATTGATGATTTAGGGTTTCTGTTGGAAAAATGTCTAAGCAGCAAAGCAGTTGTGATGTGGCCTGGCTGCTTCTAACAACCTATGCTCACATGTTCTAGCAAAAAAAAAATAAAAATAAAATAAGTAGTAACTTATACTTACAAAAGAAGCATAGTGTAAAAGCTTGAAAACTTTGCAGCCTAGTCATGTGGCTGAAATATAAAAAGCTTTTATAAGAGAGGAACTCAAGCAGGATATGGGTCAACTACTTGTTAGAGATATTTGTATAACCTAAAAAAAAGCAAGTGTTGATAGCCAAGGCAATGGGAAAGAGGAATTGAAGGCATTTAAAAAATCTAAAAGGCAGCCCCCCATCACAGGCCCTGAGGCCTAAAAGAAGACAATAGTTTCTGGGATCAGACCTAGGACCTGCTGCCTTGGGTAGCTTTGGAACAAGGCTCCCTGCATCCTGGCCACTGCTTCAGCTCCAGGTGTAGCTCAAATTGACCCAGTTACAACTCCAGTCACGCTTCAGAGGGTGCAAGCCATAACCTTGGTAGCTTCCATGTGGTGTTAGGCCTGTGGGTTTACCAAATGCAAGTAGTTGAGACTTGGGAGCCTCCACCTTTATTTGAAAGGATGTATGAAAAAGCCAGGGTGTGCAGGCAGAAGCATGCTGCAGGGGTGGAGCCCTCATGGAGATCCTCTACTAAAACAATGGAGAAAAGAAATGTGGGGTGACAGTCCCCAGGCAGGCTCCCCACTGGGTCATGGCCTAGTAGATCTGTGAGGGGAGTATCACTGTCCTCCAGGCCCCAGAATGGTAGATCTAGCTACAGCCTGCACCTGGCACCTTGAAAAGCCAGAGGCACAGAATGCCAGCCCATGAGAGCAGCTGTGGGGGCTGAACCATGCAAAGTCACAAGGTAGAACCTTCCCAAGGCATTAGTGTACCCTGGAAATGGGACACAGAGTCAAAAATAATTATTTTGGAGCCTTACAATTCAATAACTGCCCTTCTCGGTTTCAGACTTTCAGGGATCCTGTGGCCCCTTTCTTTTGGCTGATTTCTTCATTTTAGAATAGGAGTATTTACCCAATGTCTCTGCCTCATTTGTATCTTGGAAGAACTTAACTTGTTTTTTTTTTTTATTTTACAGGCTTATAGAAGGAAGAAATTAGCTTTGTCTTAGATGAGACTTTTGACTTTTGAGTTAAGGCTGAAATCAGTTAAGACTTTGGGGATTATAGGGAAGTCATGATTGTATATTGAAATATGAGAAGGATATGAGATTTGGAATCGCCAGGGGCAAAATGATACAGTTTGGATGTGTATTCCCAACAAAATCTTATATTGAAATATAATACTCAATGTTGGAAGTGGGCCTAGAGGGGAGGTGATTGAATCATGAGGGCAAGATTTCCATGAAGAGTTTGGCATCATTTCCTTTGGTGCCATTCCCACAATAGTAAGTTTTTATCAGAGCTGGTTATCTACAAGTGTGTGTGGCACTTCCCCCCTGCCCTCACACTTATCATATGATGTGCAAGCACTGGATTTATTTTTCACCTTGTCAGTTGTCAGAGGCTTCCCCAGAAGCAGAAGCCAGTGCTATGCTTTCTGTACAGCCTGAAGAACCATGAACCAATTAAACCTATTTTCTTTATAAATTAACCAGTCACTGATTACTTTTTATAGCAATATGAGAATGGTCTAATACATCCACCAAAAACTATTAGGAGTAATAACTTGAGTAAATTTGCAGAATACAAAATCAACATATACAAATCAGTAGGATTTCTATATGCCAACAGTCAACAAACTGAAAAAGAATTCAAAAATGTAATACTATTTGCAGTAGCCACAAATAAAACAAAATGTGTTGGAATTTACCAAAGAAATAAAAGATCTCAACAGTTAAAACTGTAAAACACTGATAAAAGAAATGAAAAAGGACCCAAAAATTGGAAAGATATTTTTATGTTCACAGATTGGAAGAATCAGTGTTTTTAAAAAATGTCCATACAATCCATATCAATCTATACATTTCATGCCATCTCTATCAAAATAACAGGCCAGGGGCAGTGGCTCATGCCTGTAATCCCAGCACTTTGGGAGGCTGAAGTTGGTGGATCATGAGGTCAGGGGTTCAAGACCAGCCTGGCCAACTTGGTGAAACCCCACTTCTACTAAAAATACAAAAAAATTAGCCAGGCACGGTGGCAGGTGACTGTAATCCCAGCTACTCAGGAGGCTGAGACAAAGAATTGCTTGAACCCAGGAGGTGGAGGTTGCGGTGTGCAGGGATAACATCACTGCACTCCAGTATAGGTGACAGAGCAAGATGCAATCTAAAAAAAAAAAAAGAGGAAGAAGACATTCCTCACAGATATAGAAAAAAAATTCTGAAATTTATATGGAAACATCACAAAACAGCATAATAGTCAAAGCTATGCTGAGTGTATAAAACAAAACTGGAGGAATTCCGTTACCTGGTTTTAAATTATACTACTAAGTTATAGTAATTAAAACAGCATGACACTAGCATAAAAACAGACATAAAGACAGATGGAATGAAATAGAGACCTTAGAAACAAACTCATACAGCTAAATTAATTTTCAACAAAAGTGCCAAGAATATACAATAAAAAATAAGACAGTTTTTATAATAAATAGGGCTGGGAAAACTGGCATTCTGTGTGAGGGACAAACATTCAGACCCTCATAGCAGTGTTCAGGAATCCTATGTGAGGGACAAACATTCAGACAACAGCAGGAGTGTTCTGGAATCCCCTGTGAGGAACAAACATTCAGAACCTCGTAGCAGTGTTCTGGAATCCTACGTGACAAACATTTAGAACCCAGCAGCATTCTGGAATCCGATGCGAGGGACAAACATTCAGACCCTCGTAGCAGTGTTCTGGAATCCTATGGGAGGAACACCCAAATTAATTTTCAACAGAAGTACCAAGAACATACAATAAAAAATGAGACAGTTTTTGTAATAGATAGGGCTGGGAAAACTGGCAAGCCATAGGCAGAAGAATAAAACTAGAACCCTATTTCTTGCCACTTACAAAAATCAAATTAAAATGAATTAAAGACTTAAACCTAACGCCTCAAACCATCAAACTTTTACAAGAAAACATTGGGGAAACTCTTTAGAGCATTGGTTTGGGCAAAAATTCCTTAAATAATGCCCTAGAAGAACAGACAACCCAAACAAACATGGACAAATGGGATTACAGAAAGTCAGAAAGCCTTTTTAAAGTGAAGGAAAGAAGAAACAAAGTGAAGAGAAAATCCACAGAATGAGAGAAAATATTTGTAAATTATCCATCTGAAAACAATTAATAGCTACATGATATGGTTAGGATTTGGGTCCCCACCCAAATCTCATATTGAATTGTAATCCCCAGATGTTGAGGGAGAGACTTGGTAGAAGGTGATTGGATCATGGGGGTGGTTTTCCCCATGCTGTTCTTCTGATAATGAGTGATTTCTCATGAGATATCATGGTTTTATAAGGGACTCTTCCCCCTTTGCTTCACATACATGCTCTCTCGCCTGCTGTCATGTAAGAAGTGCCTGTTTCCCCATCTGCCATTATTGTAAGTTTCCTGAGGCCTCCCTGGCCATGTGGAACTGTGAGTCAATTAAACCCATTTCCTTTATAAATTATCCAGTCTTGCCAGGTGCGGTGGCTCATGCCTGTAATCTCACCACTTTGGGAGGCTGAGGCGGGTGGATCACGAGGTCAGAAGTTCAAGACCAGCCTGACCAAGATGGTGAAACCCCGTCTCTACTAAAAATACAAAAATTAGCCAGGCATGGTGTCAGGTGCCTGTAATCTCAGCTACTCAGGAGGCTGAGGCAGAGAATTGCTTGAATCAGGAGGTGGAGGTTGCAGTGAGCCGAGATTACACCACTGCACTTCAGCCTGGGCAACAGACCAAGACTTCATCTCAGTAAATAAATAGATAACACAGTCTCAGGTATTTTTTTATAGCAGTGCAGAAACAGACTAATACACTACAATATATTGAGTTCAAGAAATTCTATAGAAAAAAGTAATAAATAAAGAGTGGACAAAAAATTTAAATAGACATTTATGAAAAGAAGACATACAAATGTGAAACAGGCAAATGAATAGGTGCTCCACATTACTGATCATCATAGAAATGCAAATCAAACACAAAATGAGATATCATTTCACCCCAGTTAAGGTGGCTTTTATCCAGAAGTCCGTGAAAAACAAATGCTGGTGAGTATGTGGAGTGAAGGGAACCCTTGTACACTGCTGTTGGGAGCACATTTAAGGAGAGTTTGGATGTTCCCGATATAACTAAAAATAGAGCTACTATGTGGTCCAGCAATCCCACTGCACAGTATATGCCTACAAGAAATAAAATTGGTAAATCAAAGACCTATTGGCACTCTCATGTTTGCTACAGCAGGGTTTATAATAGTCAAGATTTGGAAGGAACCTAAATGTCCATCAACAGATGACTGGATAGAGAAAATGTGGTACATATACACAATGGAGTACTATTCAGCTGTAAGAAAGAATGAGAGCCTGCCATTTGCAATAACATAAATGGAACTGAAAGTCTTCATGTTTGTGAAAGTCTTCATGTTTATGAAAGTGAAATGTCAGGCACAGAAAGACAAATGTCACATGTTCTCACTTATTTGTGGGTGCTAAAATTCAAAACAGTTGGTGTCATAGAGATAGAGAGTATAAGGATGGTTACCAGAGGCCGGGAAAGGCAGGAAGGGAACAAGGGGATAGTGGGGATGCTAAATGGGTAAAAACACAATTGTTAGAAAGAATGAATAAGACAGCATTTGAAAGCACAACAGGGTGATTATAGTCAAAAATAATTTAATTCCACATGTAAAAAAACTGAAAGAGTATAATTGGATTGTTTATAACACAAGCTATATATGCTTGAGGGGACAGATACCCCATTTTTTATTATGTATTACTCATTGCATGACTGCATCAAAGTATTTTATGTACCCCCATAAATATATACACCAACTATGTACCCACAAAAATAAATTAAAAATTGAAATTTAAATTAAAATTAAAACCAAAATGAGGAGAGTATAATGAGGCATGTGTGACCCATGGCTTGAACTAGCTTTTCAGGTTAACTTTGGAATGTCCTTATCCAAGAAGAGAGGTCCATTTAGTCAACAGGGGTTTAGAAATTTATTTTTAGTCTATAAATGGAAAAAAGAAGGATTTTTAATCCTGAGCCATAGTTCTCAGTCAATCAATCCCTGCAAAGAACCCTGTTCTTTACTCTTGAGATAAACATTAGTTTTCTTTTCCATGGAATAACACCACATTTCAAAATGAGGGGAAACATCTTGAAACTAAGAGGTAGAGCCTTATTCAATTTGATTTGGTTTCCATTGTAATTAATTTAATCACATGTGTTCTAGAGTTTGTCCTCAGTCTTCCCCTAGTTTAGGCCCATGATCTGTTGAACTTGCTCAGCTCCCTGCTCAACAGCAGGAAATCAGAATTATTTAAAATCCTCATTGTGGCTGGGAGTGGTGGCTCATGCCTGTAATCCTAGCAATTTGGGAGGCCAAGGTGGGTAGATCGCTTGTTGTCAGGGGTTTGAGACCAGCCTGGCCAACAGAGTGAAACCCCATCTCTACTAAATATACAAATATTAGCTTGGTATGGTGATTCATGCCGGTAATCCCAGCTACTTGGGAGGCTGAGGCAGGAGAATTGCTTGAACCCGGGAGGCGCAGGTTTCAGTGAGCCAAGATGGCGCACTGCACTCCAGCCTGGGCAACAGAGCAAGACTCTGTCTCAAAATGATAATAATAATAATTAATAATAATAATAATAATAATAATAATAAAAAGTAAAAATGAAAATCTCATTTTGTTTCAAACAAAATTTCTTTTGAATATCAACTGTACCAACTTGCATATTAACTGTAATCATTTTGTTTACTTTATATCCAATCTGGAGAAATCTTTGAGGACTAATTTCACTCTTTTCTGCCATTTTGGTAAACATACCAAATGCCATCAAACAAAATGTACAAAATTCCTGAGAAATACATTTTCTCCTTGAGGAGTAGACTTGCTCTGTTGGAGGAACTCATGGTTACCTAGCTTCTAGTTTAATAAACCTGACTAGAATATTCTATCTTAATATGAGTAGCTAGGTACTCACAAGGCATCTAGAAGGTTAATGTTCATGGTCCGAAAATAGTCACATTTTTTACCTGGCCACAAATTACAATTGCAGAATATTTGTGGTCATACAAGACATCTTCCACCAAGCCTAAAAAATGTATAAATGTCCTAGGAGTGCAGCATTTTTTTGTAAGGATATTATTGATGAGGTAGCTTAGGTCAATAGGTTAATGGTTATAGTTAAAACCAATAGCCCCAACTTTAGTGACTATATCTGCACCTTCCAAGTTTATTTATAACTCTTTCTCTTTATAGTTATTTATAAGTAGAGACACTAACAAAAGACAATGCATTCCTCCTCTTGTTTTCTGAGGATGTCCAACTCTGTAATGGAGTAATTTCTAATAAACTTGCTTCTTTCACTGTGCTCTCTGACTCACCTCAAATTTTTTCCTGCACAAGATCTGAAAATCCTACTTTGTGGTCTGTATCAGGACCCTCTTTTCCAGCAACATCTTTCAGCAACACCATGAACGCACGCCAAGACAAGACCCCCACTCCAAGGAAAAAAATCGACACAGAATCAATCAGCTGACACCTGGCAAGTGGGCTGTCTTTTAGATTCGTGAAGCCATTCTGGTGGGCAAGAATGATTATCCACTATTATCATACTCAGATTAGATGCCAAGCCCACAGGATTAGTGGACCTGGGAATATTGAGAAGAATGGATTTGGCTAAACAAGATATTTGCCACTTTCTCTTTTTGGACTGTCCACCTTGTGCTCTCTGTCCCTCACCTGAGTGCTCTACATATTGTCACCTTTCTGCTCACCACTTCTGTTTTGTAGTACACTGGAGGCTGTCCCAGGACAGAGGCCCCAAAGAGCTTAGCTTTTACTTTCCTCACCGATCCTCTGACTCTTAACTGACTGCTTGTTTAATTTGCCACTGGTCCAAGTGACACTGAAAAAAAGAATTGTCTTCTAACCTAGTATTTTTTTACCTTAATTATCAGAAAAGATCAGCAGTAACCTTGCCATCATTATGACTAGAAGTTGAAATGTGGTATTTAAGAGCTCTACATGATAAGATCAGATATGCCTGTTTAGTGACAGCCTCTTCTATGGCAACCCTCTGCAAATAATTACCCTCAAGATGGAGAATATGAGGGTTTTTCTTAACAGTTTTCTCTCATTTGTTAACCATAAAGCCATATTTGATGAGCTGGTATAGGGCAGCTGGACCCTACTTTCTAAACCCAGCAAGTCACTTTTTTCCTGAGAGAGTTTTGTCAGTTTTGTCATAGCAGTGTGAAAATGGACTAATACATTACAATATACAAGCTACAGCCTTCCCATTTCCCCTGTTTGATCTGACTCCTATTTTGCAGCTTAATTTGTTTTATAGAAGAGAAACTAAGAGGGAGGAAA
Organism: Homo sapiens; assembly: GCF_000001405.40. Classification (NCBI taxonomy): domain Eukaryota; kingdom Metazoa; phylum Chordata; class Mammalia; order Primates; family Hominidae; genus Homo; species Homo sapiens. The sequence continues at coordinate 291,089 of NT_187420.1, read as the reverse complement.
TACATTATATACAGGCTTCTCTGATGCTTGGTCAGGATAAAAAATTAAAATGGGCTTCTATATGTTTGATGGAGGAAAAGACAAAATAGGAACAGCATGTAATTGATTACCCTTTTAATGCAAGTACCTCTTAATATTAGGCTTTTCTTAGCTGGGGCTGAACTCCCCCTGCCAGTCCAAGCACCCCATAAGAACACAGTCAGACTCCTTCCAGTTCTGGTGAGGTGTGCAACATGTTATTAATTTCTTCTAGTTTTCCAGGGTTATCTAGTGTCCAGTCATCATCTTCTCCCTGCCCTTCGAGTCCTGTCTTACGTACATACCCCACTCTCGAAACACCCGAGATTCACCAGAACAACATGCAGTGGGGCCTCTTATCAGCTGGCAAAGTTGAATATTTGCCCTCTCTGGGAAGTGACAGATGATAATAGGGACACTATATTGAAGGGGTGGACTGTCCCTACACACCTTTGGGCGTTTCTCGTCAGGTGGAACAAGAGACTTGTGAAAAGAGTCTCAGAGACAAAGTATAGAGAAAAAGTGGGCCCAGGGCATCGGCGCTCAGCATATGGAGGACCCGCGGCGGCACCAGTCTCTGAGTTTCCTTAGTATTTGTTGATCATTATCGGGCATTTCTCGGAGAGAGGGACGTGCCAGGACCATAGGGTAACAGTGGAGAGAGGGTCAGCAGGAAAACATGTGAACAAATGTCTCTGCATCGTAAACAAGGTAAAGAAAAAAGTGCTGTCCTATTGATGTGCATATACATAAACATCTCAATGCCTTAAAGAGCAGTATTGCCTCCAGCATGTCTCACCTCCAGCCCTAAGGCGGTTTTCTCCTATCTCAGTAGATGGAGTATAGAATCGGGTTTTACACTGAGACATTCCACTGCCCAGGGACGAGCAGGAGACAGATGGCTTTGTCTTATATCAACTGCAAAGAGGCCTTCCTTTTTTACTAATCCTCCTCAGCGCAGACCGTTTACAGGTGTCGGGCTGGCGGATGGTCAGGTCCTTCCCTTCCCACGAGGCCGTATTTCAGAATATCACATGGGGAGAAACCTTGGACAATACCTGGCTTTCCTAGGCAGAGGTCCCTGTGGCCTTCCGCACTGTTTTGTGTCCCTGGGTACTTGAGAGTAAGGAGTGGTGATGACTTTTAACAATCATGCTGTCTTCAAGCATTTGTTTAACAAAGCACATCCTGCATATCCCTAAATCCATTAAACCTTGAGTCGACACAGCACATGTTTCTGTGAGCACAGGGTTGGGGGTAGGGTTACAGATTGACAGTATCTCAAGGCAGAAGAATTTTTCTTAGTACAGAACAAAATGGAGTGTCTTATGTCTACTTCTTTCTACATAGAAAAAGTAACAGTCTGATCTCTCTTTCTTTTCCCCACACTATATAGGTATATGTACCCTTTTCTACGTCTGAATTAGCCATATGCAAGGAAAAACTAAAACAGTTTTCAGAGGTTCCGGGAAAATTCATAGACAAATTTAAGAGGCTAACCTTGATGTATGATCTGACCAGGCAGCATTTGCATATATTTATGTTTATCTGCTGCATGGTAGAAACACAGTGCATTGTGGGAGTGGCTAGAGCACATGCTAATAGGGTGGCAGCCTGCAACCAGGGGCAAGACACCTATCAAATAGGAGGCATAGCAGTGCCTGACTAGGACCCAAAAGAACTAGAATCTAGAAAAGACAAATGAATTAGGAAGAAAGTGGGATATAGAGAGAAAAAATTATGATCATTTGACTCCTGGAAGGAATAAAAAAAGTGTGATAAAGCTTTTTAATTTTTATAAAGTCTGGAAAATTACTCAGGGAAAAGATGAAAACCTAGCCTTATTACAAGGGTGGATAATTTAGACCTTGAGGAAATACAGTAACACTGACCCTGACTCCAAGAAGGGACAAGCATTGCTAGGAGTTTATTTTATAGCCCGGTCTGCTTCTGATATTTATAGGAAGCCACCAAAAGCAGCCTTAGGCTTCTAGACTCCCATAGATCAGATTTTAGACTTGGATTTTGCAGTTTTCCATCACAGGAATAGGGCCAAGAAAATATAAAATAAAGCAAATCTTCCAAGAGGCCCAGCTTCTACCTGCAGCCTTGTGCTCTCCACCACTTCAGAGGCAGCCCCTTAACCCCTGGCCCTCACAGAGGAAGTGAGAAGGTAAAAGTCCCAGTCTGTGACTCTGGGCCACTGTGCCTTGGATATAAATCAATGTGCCTTCTGTAGGAAGGTCGGCCACTGCCGAAGGAAATGCACTGTGCTTCCAAGGGAGCCATCATCAGAGCCCAGCAGACTCAAAACTGGGAGGGCCTGATACTTCCTGCCTCTGCTCCCATTGGACTATTAGCTATTGAGAGATGGAGGAGCCTCAGGTGACTCTTGAAGTAGCAGGTAGGAGTATTAACTTCGTATTAGGTATGGGAGCAGATTACTCTGTCCTGATTCAATACAATGGGCTCCTGTCTTCTCATGATGGACAAGCCCAAAATCACTGCTTTTCTTATCTTCTAAGTTGTCCTCCAGAGCCTCTAGGTTTCTCGCCTGCCTTTTTAGTACTGTCTGATTGCCTGACCTCTTACTGGGGAGAGGTTTATTGACTCAGGAGACCAAGTCATGGTCACCTTCACAGATCATAAAGCATAGAAACTGTTACTTTTGTTCCTGACCCCTCAGGGGAAAAAAGATGTTAAGAATGAGTTGTCACATTTATCACCTGAGGTGTTGTCTCAAGTAAATCTTGAGGTTTGGGCCACACAGGCTCTGGGAAATGCACTAAACACCTCCCTCATTCAAATCCAACTTCAGCCTAGTGCTCCTCACCCTCAGAAGAGACAATACATTTTAAGGCGAGAAGCATGAGGGGAAATTCAACGCCTTATTGCCAAATTCTTGCCATATGAGTTATTAAGGCCATGAGAGTCTCCTACAACACTCGCATGTTACCAGATAAAAAGCCTAATGGCAAGTACAGATTTGTCAAAACCCGTAGGGCATTAAGAAATGCAGTTGTCTCCATACACCTCATTGTCCCCAATACTTACCAAGTCCCAAGGGATGCAAGCTGGTTTACATTCCTAAATCTGAAAGATGCACTTTTCTAGATCTCAATGCATCCAGATTCATAATATGTTTGCCTTTGAATGGACTGATCCAGATATCCATTCAGCCTCAAAACTAACCTGGACAGTCATCTCTGAAGGGTTCTGGGATAGCCCCCACTTATTTGAAAATGCTCTAGCTAACGACTTAACAAATCTACAATTGGAAAGGGACACAATTATTCAGTATGTAGGTGACTTGCTCATTGCTAGCCCAACTAAAGAAGACTCATAATAATAATGTTAAGTTGGTAAATTTCCTGGGAACTTGCAGATATAGGGCATCACCACACAGGGTTCAGATTTTGACTGAAAGACTTAAATATTTGGAAACTGTCTTAACCTCTGGAACTGATCAACATCCCGGAAGATAAAAAAGTTATTTTAGTGACCCAAGAGTCCCTGTCCAAAAAATAACTGTGGGCTTTTTTAGGAGATAGCTGGGTACTGCTGCTTATGGGTGCTCAGATTTGGGCATGTAGCCAAGCCTTTATATGATACATTAAAGGGAAAGATTTAGAGCTCCTAGAATGTAATGAGAACTGCAAGCAAAACTTCAATACTCTCAAGGAGAAATTGGGCTCTGCTGCAGCCACAGGAGTCCCCAAGTTGGATGAACCATTTTTTCTTTATGTGACCAAAAAGCAAGGCATAGGCCTTGGGTAATCTTGTCCCAAAACTGGGGGACATTCCAAAGCCAGTAGCCTAATTTTCTAAGCAGATAGACCAGTTGGCCTCAGGGTGGCCTTGATGTCTTAGAGCTATTGCTGCTACCACTTTTCTAGCAGGCAAAGCTAATAAACTAACATTAGAACAGCACCTACAGATTTTTGACCCCACACCAAGGGAAGGTGGTCCTAGAAGCTAAAGGGCAGCAGTGGATAATAGGAGGACATTTATGAAAGTATCAGGCCTTATTGCTAGACCCTCCACACATAACCTTTAAAGGCTGCCAAACCATAAACCTAGCTACTTATCGGCCAGAGTCCACAGGTGCTTCTAGACTTCCTGGCATACAGGTTGTATTAGTCTGTTCTCATGCTGCTAATAAAGACATATCTGGGGCTGGATAATTTACAAAGAAAAGAGGTTTCATTGACTCACAGTTCCACATGGTCGGAGGCCTCACACTCATGGCAGAAGGCAAATGAGGAGCAAAGTCACATCTCTTACATGGCAGCAGGCAAAAGGGCTTGTGTAGGGAAACTCCCCTTTATAAAACCATCAGCTGTAATCCCAGCACTTTGGGAGGCCAAGGCAGTGGATGACCTGAGGTGAGGAGATCGAGGCCAGCCTGGCCAACATGGTGAATCCCCGTCTACATTAAAAGTACAAAAATTAGGCTGGTGGTAGGCACCTGTAATCCCAGCTACTCGGGAGGCTGAGACAGGAGAATCACTTGAACCCAGGATTCAGAGGTTGCAGTGAGCCAAGGTCATGATAATGCACTCCAGCCTGAGCAACAGAGCAAGACTATGTCTCATAAATAAATAAATAAATAAATGAACCATCAGATCTCATGAGACTCATTCACTGTCACGAGAACAGCATGGGAAAGACCCATCCCCTGATTCGATTACCTCCCACTGGATCCCTCCCACGATATATAGGAATTATGAGAGCTACAATTCAAGATAAGATTTGACTGGGACACAGCCAAAGCGTGTCACAGTTATGAAACAAATTTATTCTAGCGGGCCAGACTTAAGAGAGATGAGCCCCTTGACCATCCCAAGGAAGAGTGGTTAACAGATGTATGTTGTTTTATGCATCAGGAAAACAGGAGTGGTAGATATGCTATTAGTAGTCAGCACAAGAAAATCAAGGCACAAGTCTTGCTGGCCTCGACCTCAGCTCAAAAAGCTGAGTTAATTGAACTTAATCAGCCCCTGCAGTTGGGAAAGGATTTAAAAGTTAACATTTACACTGATTCCAAGTATGACTTTTTAGTGCTTCATGCTTATGCTGCAATTTGGAATGGGTAGGGACTCCTGACCCCCAAGGGCTTTTCCATACAACATCATTCAGATTTTGAGCTTGTTAGAATGCTGCTTTGCTGCCAAAAAGTGACTATAATTAATTGCAGAGGACATCAAAAGAGAGACTGACCATATAAAAGGAAATGCCCTTGCAGATGCCGCAGCCAAGGCCCCTGCACTGAAAGGGCCAATGAAGCTTATGGGTGTGCTGGTCAGCATACATTGAACTGAGCCAGAACACTCTGAAGAAGAACAAAAATGGGCCAGGGATTGCATTTCAGTCCAGGGTCCCTCTGGCTGGCTGAATGATGGTAATAAATTACTAATGCCAAGTACCAATCATAGGAATATAATTCAGAACTTTCATGATTCTCTCCACCCTAGAAGGGATTCTTGGTTTCTGTTAATGTCTCATTTGTTTATAGGGGTAAATCTTTTCAAGACACCAAAACAGGTGACTCAGCCCTGTGATCTCTGTGCCTGACATGACCCAAACGGCTAGTAATTTTCTCCTTCTCCAGGTAAACCTGTCCAAAATTGAGGAACCTATCCAAGTGAGAACTGGCAACTCTAATTTACTGAGCTACCTTTCTGCAGGAGATTCAAATATTTGCTAATGCTTACTGATACCTTCATTGGTTAGATCGAGGCATTCCCCACCCCATCTGAAACATGTTTACCAGAAGAAATAACTCATCAGTTTGGGTAATCTAAAAGCCTGCAAAGTGGCAATGGCCCATCTTTCACAGCAGGTGTATCCCAACACCTATCCTCAGCTTTAAGAATGCAATATTAACTTCACTCTGTGTGCAGACCGCAGTCCTCTGGAAAGGTGAAAGGGCTAATCCTACTCTAAAGAAGACTCTAGCTAAATCAGAAGCCTGACTGTCTCTAACACCCATAGCTTACTGCGGGTTTGAACTGTTCCAAAGTAAAACTTATAATTAAATCCTGTTGAGTTAACATTCGGAAGACCTTTCCTAAGCACAGATCTCCTAATAGATGAAAAGACTCATCAATTACAAAAATATGTCATCAATCTAGGACAGGTGCAAAGACACTCTGTGAATATGGATACAAGAGTCTTCCCCTCCCACATGGGAGGAAAATTCAGTTTCAGCTCAGCTAGGGATTTAGTCTTACTAAAGATGTTGGAGGAAGTTCTCCAGCTGACCAGCTTTCCCCAATGTGGAAAGGACCACAGCAAGGACACCTGAGCTCTCCAACAGACGTTCAACGCCAAGGGATTCACAGGTGGGTACACCTGTGTGGAAGTAAAGCTGTTGCTTATTCTGTGAGCCGAACCCGAGGCTGAGGGAGGTGGGCGCGGGTCTATTTCAGCGGTGGTGGAGTGTGGGCTGGGTAGCTGCGCATCTGCTCCTCCTTCTCGCATTTCTCCTGCCACTCTAATCCCGCCTTGGCCATGAGGGAAATCGTGCTCATGCAGGCCAGGCAGTGTGGGAACCAGATCGTCGCCGAGGTTGTATTTGACTCCATAAAAATTAAAATTTTGTATGAGAGAAAAATGTCTCAAAGTCAAAAGTCAACAGACTGGGGAAATAGATCTGCAACATACATGACAGACAAAAAGCTAATTTGGGATATATATATATACACATATAAATATATATATACTTATAAATATATATACATATAAATATATATGCATATAAATAGATAGATAGATAGATGTAAATATCCGTTTTTAACACCATTTAAAAAAATACCTTCCTTTCCCCATTGAACAGTGTTGATGCCCTTGTTAAAAATCATGACCATATTTTTTGGTTCTTTATTTCTATTGCATTGGTCTTTGTGTCTGTCTCTATGCTGGTACAGCATTGTTTTGCATACTGAAGTTTGAAACCAGGAGGTCATAGTCCTCTGACTTTGTTAATTTTTAAGATTGATTTGGCTGCTTGGGGTTTTTTGAGATTTCATCTGAATTTTAGAACAGGTTTTTCTATTTTTTCAAATATTGGAATTTTTACAGTGATTTTATTGAATCTGTAGATGACTATAGATAACAATGGCACCTTGACAAGATTTTGTCTTCCAGTCCATAAACATATGATGTCTTTTCATTTATTTGTGTCATCTTTAATACTTTCATGCCATGTTTCTAGTTTTTGCTGTACAGGTTTTTCATTTCCTTGGTTAAGTGGGTTTCTAAGTATTTTATTCTTTTGATGCTATCACACATGATACTGTTGCCTTGATTTCTTCTTCAGATAGTTTATTGTTATTGTAGAAATACAACTGATTTTTGTGTATTATTTTGTATCCTGCAGCTTTTCTGAATTTTATTTATTGCATCTGACAGTTTATTTCACAGAAAGTAAAAGATTTTTAATATATGAGGTTATGTCATCTGCAAACAGATAATTTTACTTTTTTAAAAATGGGAATATCTTTAATTCCTTTACTCACCTTATTGTTTTAACTAACTAGAACCTTCAGTACTATACTAAATAGCAGTAGTAAAAGCAGGCATCCCTGTTTTTGCTCTTAGGGTAAAAGCTTTCAGTCTTTCACCATGTTAGCTGTGTCTTTTTGTTTTGTTTTGTTTTTTGTATAGCATTATGTTAATGTGTTTTCTTTCTTTTTATAGTTTATTAAGTATATTTTATCATGAATGTGGGTTAAATTTTGACAAATGTTTTTTCTTCTTTGCTTAAGATGATCACATGAGGGTTTTTTCCTTATGTTAATGTGATATTACGCTGATTTTCATGTGCTGGAACATACTTTCATTTCAGGAGTCAATTATACTCATTCGTAGTGTATAATCCTTTTAATGTACTGCTAAGTTTGAGTTGCTGGTATTTTGTTGAGGATTTTTGCATCAGCATGTATAAGGGATGTTTGTTTGTAGTTTTCTTATGGTGCCTTTGTCTGGCTTGGTGTCAGGGTAATACTGGCCTCATAGAATAAGTTAGAAAAAACTACCTCCTTTTCAACGTTTTGAAAAAGTTTGAGAAGAAGCGGTGTTAATTCTGCTTTAAACAATGGGTAGAATTCAACAGTGAAACCATCTGGTCCAGGTTTTTCTTTGTTGCTGGGTTTTTGATTACTGATGCAATCTTCCTGCTGAATCTCCTTGCTGAATAGGTTTATTCAACTTTTCTGATTCAGTCTTAGTAGGTTTTTTGTTTCTAGGAATTTGTTCATTTTATTTAGACTATTCAATTTTTTAGTGTATAGTCCCTTATGGTACTCTTCTACACCCATTTTTTACTCCAAAAATTTGTTAGTAATGTACCCATTTTATTTTTGAGTTTAGTAATTTGAATATTCCCTTTCTTTCTTAGTCAATCTAGATAAAATTTTGTCAGTTTTGATGTTTTTCAGAGAACAAACTAGGTTTTGTTGATTTTTGATATTGTTTTTCTATTCTCTATTTCACTTATTTCCACTGCTATCTTTATCTTTTTTTAATTTAGCTAGCTTTTAGTTGTCCCTCTTTAATAGTCCCTCTTTTTCTCTCTGTTTTTAGTTCCTTAGGAGTAAAGTTGTTGATTCGGTATATTATTTTTTATAACCATTTATAGCTATAAATTTTTCCCTTATGGTACCATTTTTAATGTATCTCTTAACTTTTGGTATTTCATGTTTTTAATCTGTCTCTAGATATTTTTTTCTTTTCTCTTGTGATTTCCTCCTTTATCCATCATTGAGTGTTTCATACCTATATTTTTAGACATAAAATGTGTAACCTACAATGTTTTCTTGATTTGTTAGTTTTATTTGTTGTAAGTTTTTATTTCAGAATTAAATGTGTGTATCAACATTTGTTATGTTCTCATAAACTTTGTAATACATGGAGATTCCTGGTCCACATATGTAAGTCTCTACATGAATATTATTTTGAAGCATTTAACCTTCTATTTTAATATTTCAAAGGTCTAAATGAAATTGAGATTTTGGTTTCTGAGATGAAATCATGGTGGGTGACTGAGAAATGCTTAAAAATTAGCCAAAACTTAAAATTAAGTTAAAGTTTACCTTCAAGATTCAACCTGAATAAGTCACCCTGTATTGCTGGTAATAAAGAATAAGTCTTTAATGATATAAAAGGAAACTTCAGAGAATGTTTTTTTTTCCCCAGTTGACATATAAATTAAAAGATATAAAAAATTTTTATGGCCTTATGAATTTTTTACTTTAGAATTCCAACGTTTTCTGGTTAACATTTTTCCAAACAGATTCCTGTGTATTTGAAAGACAAATAATTTTTTAGTTGAACTGCTTAAGCAGTTAAATAAGGCCATGAAAGTTTCTTGAACTTGTGGGAATACATGAGAAAATCTGACATTATGTTCTATTCTCTTGGAAGGTAGAAATATCGTTTGACTTCTGTTTTGCTGACAAGAAATGTCCTGAGCAAGGCTACCTGGGACAATGACCTCACACATGGAAAACGTTGGAGCCCATCTGTTTCCAATCTGCTGTTTTCCAAAAATTAGGGAAGTTCAGTTTTCCCTTTGATACTCTCTGTTACTACCAATCCCAATGCCAGGGCTGTCCTGCTTCTACAAGTGACAATGACAAATATAGGCCTGAAGAAAGATGAGCTGATGGCATTCCCAGCTTATTACCTCTCCTTGGGGGCCTTATCTCACATACATGGATTCAACTCATAGACTCAGCTGGGTGAGGATCTATTATTCAGCTACATTAGAAGTGACTGCTTAAGACTCAGGTGTGTGGTGAAATGAGGCAGAATTTTCTCTATGGAGTGTTGGGAGAATTTTCTCCTCATAATTACCATCTTACTATCACCAAATCATAACTAAAATGAGGAAATTATTCAAAAAGAAATAGAAATGTAATCTTATGAGGACATAAGTTTAGAGATTTGTGGAGAGCTCTTCATAATTTTATGGTGTTCTCTTTGAGCTGGGATTATAGTTGACATTTCATTATAATATATTAGCTGTTCTAGACTTTATGCATTTATGTAAAGTTTTCTTTGTTGTACTTAAAGTTCTGTGATACATGGGCAGAGCATGCAGGTTTGTTACATAGTTATACACGTGCCATGGTGGTTTGCTGCCCCCATCAACCCGTCATCTACATAGGTATTTCTCCTAACGCTATTCCTCCCCTAGCCTCCCGCCCCATGACAGGCCCCAGTGTGTGATGTTCCCCTCCCTGTGTCCATGTGTCCTCATTGTTCAACTCCCACTTATGAGCGAGAACATGCAGTGTTTGATTTTCTTTTCTCTTTTTCTTTCTCTCTCTTTTTTTTTTTTTTTTTGAGACAAATTTTCACTCTCGTTGCCCAGGTTGGACTGCAATGGCGTGATCTCGGCTCACCACAACCTCTGCCTCCTGGGTTCAAGCGATTCTCCTGCCTCAGCCTCCCAAGTAGCTAGGATTACAGGTATGTGCCAATATGCCTGACTAATTGTTTGTATTTTTAGTAGAGACGGGGTTTCTCCATGTTAGTCAGGCTGATCTCAAACTCCCCACCTCAGCCTTCCAAAGTTCTGAGACTACAGGCATGAGTCACTGCTCCTGGACTGGTTTTCTTTTTTTGTGTTAGTTTGCTGAGAATGATGGTTTCCAGCTCCATCCCGGTCCCTGGAAAGGACATAAATGCATAGTATTCCATGGTGTATATGTGCCACATTTTCTTTATCCAGTTTATCATTAATGGGCATTTGGGTTGGTTCCAAGTCTTTGCTATTGTGAACAGTGCTGAAATAAACATACAGTGCTGAAATAAACATACAGTTCATGTGTCTTTATAGTATAATAATTTATAATGCTTTAGGTATATACCCTATAATGGGATTACTGGGTCAAATGGTATTTCTGGTTCTATATCTTTGAGGAATTTTCACATTGTCTTCCACAATGACTGAACTAATTTACACTCCTACCAACAGTGTAAAAGCATTCCTGTTTCTCTACAGCCTCATCAGCATCTGCTGTTTCCTGACTTTTTAATAATCGCCATTCTAACTGGAGTGAGATGGTATCTCATTGTGGTTTTGATTTGCATTCATCTAATGACCAGTGGTGATGAGCTTTTTTTCATATGTTTTTTGGCTGCATAAATGTCTTCTTTTGAGAATTGTCTGCTCGTTTCCTTTGCCCACTTTTTGATGGGGCTGTTTTTTTCTTGTAAATTTGTTTAAGTTCTTTGTAGATTCTGGATATTAGCCCTTTGTCAGACAGATAGATTGCAAAAATTTTCTCCCATTCTGTAGGTTGTCTGTTCACTCTGATGATAGTTTATTTTGCTGTGCAAAAGCTCTTTAATTAGATCCCATTTGTCGATTTGGGCTTTTGTTGCCATGGCTTTTGGTGTTTTAGTCACAATGTCTTTGCTCATGCCTATGTCCTGAATGGTATTACCTAGGTTTTCTTCTAGGGTTTTTATGGTTTTAGGTCTAACATTTAAGTCTTTAATCCATCTTGAATTGATTTTTATTACCTCTCCTTGGGGGCCTTATCTCACATACATGCACCTGGAGGTATCACAAGTAAAGGCTGCGAAACAGCAAAGATGGCAACCTGATCCTTCCTCTGGGAGCACCAGTCCAAGGGGGTACTGACTTGATGTCAGCTGGAAAGCTCCTGTAGGAGGTTTCTGGTGACCCCTGTTGGGAGGTCTCACCCATTCAGGAGGAACAGGATCAGGGACTGCTTAAAGAAGCAGTCTGGCTGCCCTTTGGCAGAGCAGGTGTGTTGTTCTGACCCCCAGGAGTCTGCAGAGCCAGCAGGCTGGAAAGTTTCAGTTGGCTGAACTGGGGAGAAAGTAGCTACCCCTCTCCCTGGGGACTTCATCCCTGGGAGAAATCAGAGTTCTGTCCATAGAACTCCGGCTGGAGTTGTTAAAATTCTGATGGGGAGGCCCTGTCCAGTGAGGAGGGATTGATTTCAGTCTCACTTAAAGATGCAGCCTGGCCACAATCAGTCACAACAGCTGTACTGTGTTATAGGGGACTCCTCCTGGTCCCTGGTGCCAGCAGGCTAGAGCAGCCAACTCAAACCACAGATAGAGCCACTGCCCCTCCCCCTGGGAACTCAGTCCACCTCCGGCTATCTCCAGCCTGCTGCCACTGGCCTGCTGGAATTCCAAGCCAATGGGTCTTATGAGGTGCTGTGGGAGTGGGGCCTCAGAATGATGTCACTTGGCTCCCTGGATTCAGCCCCCTTCATAGGGGAATGCACAGATGTATCTCTCGCTTTGCTGGAATTCTCTGGGCAGAGTATGCAAAATTCCTGGGTTTCCATGCATGCCCCAGTAAGCCAGCGAGCACTCCGCTGAGACTCTACACAGCTCTGTGCTTCAGACCCAAGGCCGTGGTGGCTGAGCTCTTGAGGCGACCTCTTCATCTGCAGGTTGCAAAGATCCATCGGAGAAGCATGGTTTCCCGGGCAGAGTCGAACAATCACTCATGGCCTCCCTTGCCTGCGAGTGGGGGCTCGGCTAGCCACACCTGGGTGGGTCATTGACCCACTTGCTTTTCCTGACTCTCTGTGTGTCGAGCTGTCTGCCCAGTCAGTTCCAATGCAAGAACCTGAATACCTCAATTGAAGGTACAGAATTCACTCACAGTTTTCATTGCTCTCTGTGAGAGCCATGGGACACAGCTGCTTCTAATCGGCCAGTATGACCCCATCTAAAGTTTGATTTCTTAATACATGAGATGTTTTAAATACGTAACAATAATGATATTTATCACAAATATATTTTGTCTCAATGTGATATACAAATTGCTAATAAATCAATTCTTTTTTGGTTACCACAAAGCTATCTGAAAATGTAACGTCTGTCATTTATAAAATGTTTGTAGAGTTAATAGAACTTTACTTGAAGAGAGGCTGGCAATATGCATCATGACTTCAAGCACTGCCAGTGAAGTTGTGGAGTTTGAAGTGGTACTCACATCTTGTTACTGGGATTATAAATTAGTAAAAACTATATCAATTGTAATTAAACAATATATACCAGAATTATAAATGGAAATACTCTCTGATTCAGCAATTTCACTTCCAGAAATTTACCCTACAGACATACTCATGATGTCTGGAATTATGTATGAATGGGAGAAAGTATTATACCACCTTTTTAATTAACAAAAGTCTAGGAGTCACCTTAATGTTTATCAGTCACATTAATGATTAACACCTTACTGTTTATTGAAATTATGGTTATTCATATGATAGACTACTATGCAGCTATTTAAAGAAATAAATTTTAAAAGGATGCTCAAAAATGATGTCCAAGATATGTTACAAAGGAAAAAACCTGGGTGGAGAGCCATGTGTCTGATATGCCTCCATTCCTATAAAATCAGAGTGTATATAAATGCATAGAGTATCTCTATTAACTGGCAACTGTTACAAAATTCAAAGTTAATGCAGGCAAGCCCTTTCTTTTTTAATGCTAAAACTCCAAGGACTTGCACAATATTTGAGGATTTCCAACACAGGCCAATCTACCTTTGAACCTACAGATTTTAGGAAATGAAGCTCTTGAAAAACCAAGCATTAATATTCCTAGCTACAGTTGTTTGGAACATAATTAGAATGATCAATTCTTTGCAAGTCTGTAAAATTTGCTCATACAACCATCTGGGCCTAGTCCCTCCTTTGTGAAAGATTTTATTTTACTAGAGATTTTATGTTCTTCATGTTATAGTACTTCTTAGTTATCTATTTCTTCTTGATTCTTGAGTCAATTTTGGTACCACTTAGTACCCCACAGGGTGCTTGGGCTCAGAACACATCAGTCAAAGGAAGAGAGAAGAAAGGAAGTTAGGAAGGAGGGAGGAAGAAAGGAAGGAAGGAAGGAAGGAAGGGGACAAAGAAGGAAAGAGAGATGGAAGGAAAGAATGAGAGAAAGAAAGATGGAGGGAGAGAAAGATGGAGAGAGAGAAAGAAAGAGAGAAGGAAATGAGAGAAAGAAGGAAGGAAGGAGGGAGAGAGAGGGAAAGAGAAAGAAGGAAAGAAACAAGGAAGCAGGGAGGGAGAGAAAGAAGAAAGTAGAGGAAGGAAGTAAGAAAGGAAGGAAAGAGGGAGGGAAAGAAGGGAGAGAGAGAGGGAGGCAGGGAAAGAAAGAAAGAGAGAAAGGTGAAAGGTGGGGATGGGAAGAAAAGAGGAGCCAGCCACAGGCTACAGGCTGTTTGTTCACTCTTATAGTTGACCCAGGCAGTTCTGCCTTTTAAATATTCCACCTTCTGCCATGAGTTACACTGTTCAATATTCATTCCTCAGAGCATTCAAAGGTCTATGTGTGCCCTGCCATGATGGAGCATGGCTTCAGCTCCCAAACACAACTCTCAGCAAAATATTCATGACTGGTCCCTCCCATATACTCATCAATCCCCCATGTATGGTCTTCATGTGTCCCCCCGAGCTCAAGTGTTGGAAACTTAATCCTCTATGTGACAGTGTTGAGAGGCAGGGCCTAATAAGAGTGATTGGGTTATGAGACTCTGCCCCCATGCATGGATTAACGTCACTATCTCAGGAATAGCTTAGTTATCTGGGGGGTGGGTTAGTTATCTTGGGAGTGCGCTTGTATTAAAAGCAAGTTCAGCCCCTTTTGCTCTCTTTCTTTCTGAAAGTCTTGCTCTGCTGCCTTCAGCCATGAGATGACACAGCAAGAAGGCCCTCACCAGATGCAGACCCCCTCATCCTTGGACTTCCTAGCCTCCAGAACTCTAAGAAATAAATTTCTTTCTTTATAGATTCCCTAGTCTATGGTATTCTGTTATAGCAGCACAAAATGGGTTAAGATGCCCCATTACATGGCGAGTGCTGATCCACAGGGTTGAGATCATTGACTTAGGGCTTAGAGTCTTATACAACATCCCTATGGGAGTTGGCCTCCATATTCCCTAACTTCCAGGAATCTCAAATGGTGATCTCAGACCAAAATATAGCCCAGATATTTTGCATTTGTCAATATTGCCCACTTTTCTACAACTTTATCATGGCAGCTTTGATGTGTTCACTTCTACGATCCCTGAAAGGATATGAGCTCAAGATCCTGCAAGGTTACAATCCAAGGATAGAAGAGCCTAGACAAGAGTTCCATCACCTGGGTGATCAGTGCAGAGCTATGTCACAAAGTCTCCATAGGCAAAGCCTAGACAAGAGTTACATCACCTGGGTGATCAGTGCAGATATGTTACAAAGCCCCTGTAGGCAGAGCCTAGACAAGAGTTACATCACCTGGGTGACAGGCAAACAACAATGACAACTTATTTTCATCCCCACTTCAGTCTTTGAGGTTAGACAGACCTGGATTCAAATCCAAGCTCCACCCCTCACTGTGTGAGCTTGCTCAAGCTGCTAACTTCTCTGAGACTTGACTCTTCATTCATGAAATGAGGATAAAGGCCCTTCTCTCAGGGGCTGTGCCAAGTATGAAATGAGTCATGCATTGGTCAGGACAGGTGACGCTGTGTAACAAACAAGCCCCCAAACCACAGTGGCTTCAACAGCAAAGTTGACTTCTTTTCTTTTTTTTTTTTCTTTTTTTTTTTTTTGCTGGGGTTGGGGTGCGGTGGATGGAGTCTCGCTCTGTCACCCAGGCTGGAGTGCAGTGGTGCAATCTCAGATCACTGTAACCTCCACTTCCTGAGTTCAAGAGATTCTCCTGCCTCAGCCTCCTGAGTAGCTGGGACTACAGGCGCCTGCCACCATGCCCGGCTAATTTTTTATATTTTTAGTAGAGATGGGGTTTCACCGTGTTAGTCAGGATGGTCTCGATTACCTGACCTCATGAGCTGCCCGCCTCAGCCTCCCAAAGTGCTGGGATTACAGGTGTGAGCCACCACACCCGGCCTTTACTTCTGAATTGATTTCGCATACATCACGGGTCAACAAGGGGGCTCTGGTGGTCGTAGTCATTCAGAGACTCAAACAGATAGACCCTTATCCCAGAAAATGCTCCCACAGTTCCAGAAACAGAGCAAAGAAAACATAATCAGCCATACGCCACTTCTTAAATCCCCTGCACGGAAGGGATGCACATTTCTTCTGTCACAGCTGTTGCCCAAAATATCTCAGGCGGCCGGGCACAGTGGCTCACATCTGTAATCTCAGCATTTTGGGAGGCAGAGGCGGGCAGATCACCTGAGGTCGGGAGTTCAAGACCAGTCTGACCAACATGGAGAAACCCTATCTCTACTCATAATACAAAAATTTGCCGGTCGTGGTGGAGGGTGCCTGTTAGCCCCAGCTACTCTGGAAGCTGAGGCAGGAGAATCACTTGGATCCGGGAGGTGGAGATTGCAATGAGTCGAGACCAAGCCACTGCACCCCAGTCTGAGTAACAGAGTGAGACTTCATCTCAAAAAAAAAAAAAAAATGTCTCAGGCTATGACTGAACTAGGAGGGTAGAAAGAATAGTCATTTTGGTTGCCACAAACAATCGAAACAAAGATGTAGATCATTGATGTAAAATTACAGTTAGTTCCTTCCCACTCCTTTTCAGCTTCTCTTCGTTGCTATGAGCCAGTGTTTCCAGTGTCAGTTTTCAGCCTGTTGCCTCCCAGCTCTTACTGCACCTTTCAATACGTGCACTGTGATAAACGGGGAAACACTGTTCAATATGCCTTCTAGGAGTGAACATTCTGCAGGCATCTAGGTAGAGGATGGAGAGACTGCAGTGGGTAGGAGCTCTCTGGCTGGGCCTTGATCATGTTCAAGCCCCAACCACAGACCTAGACGTGGTCCCTCAGCCACCTTGTAGCCTTGGCTTGCAACATCTCGACATGGAAACCAAAATGCAGCAGGGCCCATGTGATCTGAAAGTTCCTGAAAATTTTCCCAGACCCCATCTTGTACCCCTTGTGCAACCTGCACACAGTGACCTGTATTCTAGAGGGTCTGCACAGAGCTGCCATTCCTTCTGCCACACCCTGCGGGACTCACGCATTCTGGAGGCTTCCTGCCCTACAAAGGCAGCCAGACTCCCGCCATGCATCCCTGCACCAGACGCTCACGGCTAGCTCCCTCATCTGCATTCCAGCGGCTCATGGCCAGCTCCCTCACCTGCACCAGCGGCTCTTGGCCGGCTCCCTCCCCTGCACACCAGCGGCTCACAGCCGGCTCCCTCCCTTGCACACCAGCGGCTCACGGCCAGCTCCCTCCCCTGCATTCCAGCGGTTCACGGCCAGCTCCCTCACCTGCACTCCAGTGGGTGGCCTAGTGCTTGTGCAAAAGCTGCTGACTAGCTCCAGCCTGCCCAAATCCACGAACGTCTCTTATGTGGTGGCTGAACCACATTTTATGACATCTGAACACCTTTCAAATCTGTGCTTCCTTGGGTACCTCCCTCTGCACTAGGGCACCAGGCAGGGTTGCTTTATGTCTTACAGTGACTCTTTTATCACAGTTACAATCCTTTATACTACACTTCCCCGTTAGACCCACTATGTGGTTTCTATCTCTTGATGGGACCCAGGCTGCTACACAACCTAACCCATGAACATTGCACTTCATTAGTTCCTCACCATTGGCCCAAGATCATGCTCCACCACCCATCTCTGCACCCTGACTTTCTTTCCTTAAGTGAAACCCCTAAATGCCCTCTTTGTGCCCAAAGCTTACCTGCTCTTCCTTCCCTATATTCTTGGCCAGACACAAATATCTGATGCTCTGGCAAATGCAGAAATGGGGAGAAGGCAGGGGAATCATTTCTCCTCCCTTAGGTAAGCACTGAGGGTTATGTCATTCCATTGTGTGAGGAATAAAAAAATGAGGCATAGAGAGCTGCCTTGATTTGCCTGGACCAATGAAGCTGTCATGACAGAAGTTGGACAAAGGTTTAGGAGTCCCAAATGTCAGTCCAGCTCCTATGCCTTCAGAACGTGCTGTGGAGGGAGACACCGGGAGACTCCACTCATGCTGAGCACTCAGGGGTACCCAAGTGCTGAGACTGGGGACGTGATAGGCTGAGTTGACTCAGCCAAGTCCTCCTACACCAAATAAGGATGGAAACCCTCACATAATAGAAGTGAAGAGAGGGAACAAAACCAGGAACTATTAAGAGGCTGATGCCTGGAAGGCCTGGGCAGAATGACAGTGAGATTGGTGCAGAACAGAGGCCCTAGAAGAGGACAAGGGGAAGGAAGTGGCCTCAGTGGCCAGATGGCACCTGTCCACTGCACAGAGGCTGGAGCCTTGAGTTCCATCTAGTCCTTGTCAACCACAATCATTCTGCCCTATGGCTCAATGAGTCCTGGAGAAAATGTATTTTCTGCAGGCTGGGGAGGTGAGAATAAAACAATTCAGCCTTAAGAAGTTGAAAGCCCAGGAAATCATAGCACGTGGAGATGGCATTCATAGTTAAACTTCCTGCCCTTGACTTCTGGTTTGGCCATGGGACTTACTTTGGCCAATGGATGTGGTAAAGTGGTAGTCTGCACATTCTGAGCCTGGGTTTTAAGATAAGAGACCTTCACATTTCCCTTTGTTCTTTGCACTCCTGCCATTGCCATGAGAAGAAGGCACCCTGGCAGGCCCCAACCTGAGGAGGATCAGAGACACTTGGAGCAGATCCAGCTCAGCCACCACAGTTCGAACTGAAACCTCCCAAGCAACCCATGCTCATGAGTGAGAAATGGTGGCCTATGGTCTTAGGCCTCTGAGGTGTGGGGTTACTTGTTACAGAGCAAGAGTTAACTAATAGAGATTTCTACCTCACATCCCTATGAATCAAAGAACAAAGGAAATAAAACAAAATATGAAAAGCAGATTTCCAATTTTTAGAAGAAAACAGAGGACAGATTTTATGGCACTAAACAGAGAAAAACTTTTTTTAATATGACACAAAACACAGACATCATAAAAGAAATTACTGATAAATTCGATCGTATTAAATGTAGAAGCTTTGATCTGACAAAAGAGGTGATGAATAAAGTTAAAAGACAAAGAAAGTGCATGATATGGTTTGGCTGCCTGTCCCCACCCAAATCTCATCCTGAATTGTCCTCCCATAATTCTCCTGTGTTGTGGGAGGGACCTGGTGGGAGACAATTGGAATCATGGGGGCGGTTCCCCCATACTGTTCTCCTGGTAGTGAATAAATCTCAAGAGATCTGACAGTTTTATCAGGGGGTTCCACTTTTGCATCATCCTCATTTTTCTCTGGCCACTGCCATGTAAGAAGTGCCTTTCACCTCCCACCATGATTCTGAGGCCTCTTCAGTCATGTGGAACTGTAAGTCCAATTAAACCTCTTTTTCTTCCCAATCTGGGGTATGTCTTTATTGGCAGTGTGAAAATGGACTGATAGAGTGCACCAATAGGGAAAACATATTTGTAAGATATTTGGCCAAAAAAGCATTGATATCCAGATCATTAAAATCAAAATGGCCAGACGTGGTGGCTCATGCCTGTAATCCCAGCACTTTGGGAAGCTGAGGTGGGTGGATCACCTGAGGTCGGGAGTTCGAGACCAGTCTGACCAACATGGAGAAACCCTGTCTCTACTAAAAATACAAAATTAGCCGGGCGTGGTGGCACTTACCTGTAATCCCAGCTACTCAGGAGGCTGAGGCAGGAGAATCGCTTGAACCCGGGAGGTAGAAGTTGCGGTGAGCCGTGATCATGCCATTGCACTCCCACCTAGGCAACAAGTGCAAAACTCCGTCTTAAAAAAAAAAAATAGCACTACAAGTCAGCAAGGAGAAACCAAAGACCCAACAGACATATGGGCCAGGAGCAATTCACAGAGGAGGAGACCCGAAGGGCTGGGAAACACAAGGCACGCATTCAGCAGCACAGCAAAATCCAGGAACAATATCAGAAAGTGCGATAACAAATATTGATGAAGATGAGTGAAGACGGATGTGCGCACTGCTGGCGAGGGGCATTGTGAGGTCTCCAGCCCCAAGGTCATCTGGCTGTGCTTCCTAGGAAGGAAGGGCTGACAGCAGACCTGTCCCAAGACTCCAAGCCTCACCAGGCTACGTGCAGGTCTTGGACCAGAACATCAGCATCACCTTGGGGTGGGGGTTGCAGTGGGTTCGCACATCCTCTGCTCACCAGAAATGCAGAATTCTAGATTCATCTGGAAGATATTGTTGAAGGGAAAAGCAACTTTCAGGAGAGTATGTATGGACTGCTATTTGTATAAAATTGCAAAAACAGACCAAAGAACACTATCCATTCTTCATGGACATGCACACTGGGTATTAAACATGGATGGAAAGACACACATTGACTTCAGAATAGTGGGGAGGGAGGCGGTAACTGGGCTAGAAAAGGGACATATAACTCGAGGTTCAGCATGAACATTATGGCTGAATCCGTAGTTTTCTTCCCTTAAACTCTGGAGCAAATGCATCCAAAATCTACCACGTTTGAATTTTAACTGGGAGGTACATGAAAGTTTGATATCATTTTCCTTTGCGCAATCCTGTGTGTTTGTAATATTGAGGCATATTTTTTAAACACTTGACACAGCATGAAAGGAAGCTTGCCTACATGGTAACAATGGTTATCTTTAGGTAGCAGAATTCAAGACTGCTTCTTTTTCTTTTTTTCCTACTTGTATATTATCTGTATTTCCCTATGTGAGGATTTATGACTGTTGTGATGAAAAGGCTAGTATTCTAACTCCCTGCATCATAAGCACACACCGTGTCCTGGCTGGCACGATGGGGAGGAGGGAGCGTGTCTGTTCACCTGGCCAGCCCTAGGCAACTCTGCAGAGAAAGATGCAGGCACTTCCCCTCTGCAGCCAAAGAGTTAAGAAGGCTTGATGTGAAATAAATCATTCCAGGGGAGCTAAATCCCAGCCTTATCTAATTGTGTATCCTGAGGCTGATTAATTTAAACTCAAAAATAAAATAAACATCATCCTTAAATAGGGATTAAATACTCAGCGGGGTCCTTAGTTGAACAAACTGACATACATTTTATGGTATGGATTCAAGGGGCCTGGAGTGGGGCGAGGGGTATCTGTGGGGATGCTAGCTGAGCTAAGGAGAGAAAATCGCCAGAGCTCCTGGATTCCGGAGTACATTCACCTTTAGCTTCTTCTGTGGATACCCACAGAAAACCAAAGATCCACCCTGTGGCAGGATCTTCAAACAGGAGGTGGGCTTGTGCCCTGTGTCCCTGAGGGAGAAGGGATTAGTGGAGGGAGTGGGTGAAGAGTTTGGAGGAAGCCCCTGATGTTCTTAGAAAACAGTAGGAAAGAGATTGCCTTGCCTGGGCATTGTTCCCAAATAGGAGACAAGAGCATGAACTAAAAACAGAGACTCTCAGCTCCCTCCATGGTTCCTGAGTTCAGAAGGGAACCCAGGGAAGTGGGGCAAGTAAAAAATTGAGTGGGCTATCTGACATGTGCCTGGAGGGACCCACGAACCTGAGTCAGGCATGAGAGTGGGCAGCTGGTGGATTCTTCCAGGCCTGCAGCACAAAGCCAGGCGGATGTCCCAAGAACAAGCCATGACTGCAGAGGCCTCTACTGCATCCCTGCCTCATGGGCACAATGTCACAGAACAGAATTACATCATTTGGGAGACCATGTGCAGTGTGAGTGTCATAATGGAGCTGGACCCAGAAGGTCCCAGACCCAGGTCCAGCTATGTCTCTGCTATAGTCAATGTTTGTGTGCCCCTACAATCCGTGTGTTGAAACCTAACCCCTGATAGGTTAGATTTGAATTAGGAGGCAATGACTTTAGGAAGTGATTTCATCATGAAAGCAAAGACCCGTGAACGGGATAAGTGGCCTTGTAAAAGGGAGCCAAGGGAGCGTGTTCTCCTTCCACCATGTGAGGACACAGCTAGGAAGTGCCCGCTATAAGGAACAGGCCCTCAACAGACACCCAATCTGCCACTACCTCGACCTTCCACTTGCCAGCATCCAGACCTATGAGACATAAATTTCTGCTGCTTATAAGCCCCCTAGGCTAAGGTATTTTGTTACGGCAGCCCAAATGGAATGAGACAGCCTCTGACCATCTTGAGCAACTCACTTATCTGCTGAACTCTCCACAGATTTAACTGTGATGAAATCCCTTCATCAGATGTATATTGAACACCTACTCTGTATAAGGACACACTGTGTTATTGGACAGGGTAGAAAGCAAGTCACAGTTCCCCAGGGGTAGGCACTGCCGTAGCTGAAGAGCAAACCCAAGTTGCTGTGGCCAATGGGGGAAGGGGTGGGTGTCAGAGAAGAAGAGAACATGCTAGAGTCCCTATCTGCAGCAATATTGGAACGTCTAATGGATGGTTCCCAAAGTGGTGACTTCTCATCTTCTTACAAAAACTCATAGTTGTCCCTGTGTAAAGTCTTCCCAGAAATGCAGGGCAGTTGAGAATATGCAGATCAGAAAAGACAAGAGGACAGAGAGAGCATTCTTGGCATCAGCAGCCACGGACTTCTTGAAGGAAGGAAAGCATTTCTCCTGGATCCCTGGGTAGCAGATAAACGTACAGAAATACATTTGTTTGCTACTTGATTCATGGACTTTGAACATTTGTAGACCGGGAGGCTGAGAATCTTCTCCAGCCAGATGGTGTGGGGCGTGGAAATACAGAAAAGGATTAAAGTAGGAGGAAAACAAAGCAATGAGAAGGAGCTCTCAGCATGACCAACACAGAGACCTGGGTCTCCGCTACCAACGATAAGAGCTAATGTATAATGATTGCAGGTCTGCAAACAGCAGGCTTTCCATATCACATGTGGCAAGCTCTGATGACGACCCTGTGTGACAGGTATTGTTGTCGGAGGCAGAGGGTTGCTACATAATCACGAGCAACTGGTGGAATGCCAGAGAGTTTGGTTTTAATTGGTCTACTTCCTGTTTGCTTTCTATTTGTCCCATCTGTAGTTCGTTCTCCTTTTCCTCTTTCTCTGACTTCTTTTGAATTTGTTGAGTATTTTTATTTCATTTAATCTTCTTTGTTGGCCTTTTACATATAACTATTTTTGCTTGGTTTGGTTTTGAGTTTTAATCATTGCTCTATGGTTTATGGTATATCATATGGTTTGGATCTGTGTCTCTACCCAAATCTCACGTGGAAACGTAATCCCCAATGCCAAGCGTGGGGCCTGGAGGGAGGTGATTGGATCATGGAGCCAGTTTCTCATGGTTTAATACCATCCCCGCTTGGTACTATATAGCGAGTGAGTTCTCACAAGATCTGGTTGTTTAATAGTTTGTGGCACCTCCCCCTCACTCTCTTCCTCCTGCTCCAGTCAAATAAGATATGCTTGCTTCCCCTTTGCCTTCCGTCATGATTGTAAGCTCCCTGAGGCCTCCCCAGAAGCCAAGCAGATGACAGAA
The DNA here is from genome assembly GCF_000001405.40 of Homo sapiens. Classification (NCBI taxonomy): domain Eukaryota; kingdom Metazoa; phylum Chordata; class Mammalia; order Primates; family Hominidae; genus Homo; species Homo sapiens. The sequence goes on along the minus strand of NT_187420.1, from coordinate 267,701 downwards.
TCACGCTTCCTGTACAGCCTGCAGAACTGTGAGCCAATTAAACCTCCTTTCTTCATAAATTACCCAGTCTCATTTTCTTTTTTTGAGACGTAGTCTCACTCTGTCGCCCAGGCTGCAGTGCAGTGGTGCGATCTCGGCTCACTGCAACCCCGCCTCCCTGGTTCAAGTGATTCTGCTACCTCAGCCTCCCAAGTAGCTTAGCTGGGACTACAGGCATATGCCACCAATCCCACCTATTTTTTTTGTATTTTTAGTAGACATATGGTTTCATCATGTTGGCCAGGACGGTCTCAATCTCTTGAACTCATAATCCACCCACCCCAGCCTCCCAAAGTGCTGGGATTACAGGCTTGAGCCACCATGCCCAGCCCCAGTCTCAGACATTTCTTTTTCTTTGAATTTATTTATTATTATTTTTTAAATTATTATTATTATACCTTAAGTTTTAGAGTACATGTGCACAAAGTGCAGGTTTGTTACATATGTATACATGTGTCATGTTGGTGTGCTGCACCCATTAACTCATCATTTAGCATTAGGTATATCTCTTAATGCTATCCCACCCCCCTCCCCCCACTCCACAACCGTCCCCGGTGTGTGATATTCCCATTCCTGTATCCATGTGTTCTCATTGTTCAATTCCCACCTATGAATGAGAACATGTGGTGTTTTGTTTTTTGTCCTTGCAATAGTTCACTGAGAATGATGGTTTCCAGCCTCATCCATGGCCCTACAAAGGACATGAACTCATCATTTTTTATAGTTGCAGAGTATTCCATGGTGTATATGTGCCACATTTTCTTAATCCAGTCTATCATTGTTGGACATTTGTGTTGGTTCCAAGTCTTTGCTATTGTGAATAGTGCCGCAATAGACTTATGTGTACATGTGTCTTTATAGCAGCATGATTTATAATCCTTTGGGTATATACCCAGTAATGGGATGGCTAGGTAAAATGATATTTCTAGTTCTAGGTAACTGAGGGATCACCACACCGACTTCCACAATGGTTGAACTAGTTTACAGTCCCACCAACAATGTAAAAGTGGTCCTATTTCTCCACATCCTCTCCAGCACCTGTTGTTTCCTGACTTTTTAATGATCGCCATTCTAACTGGTGTGAGATGGTATCTCATTGTGCTTTTGATTTGGATTTCTCTGATGGCCAGTGATGATATTGTGGTTTTGATTTGCATTTCTCTGATGGCCAGTGATGATGAGCATTTTTTCATTTGTTTTTTGGTTGCATAAATGTCTTCTTTTGAAAAGTGTCAGACATTTCTTTATAGCAGTGCAAGAACAGAATAATACAGTATATGTATTTAACTTAGCATTGGCTGCCATCAACATTATACCACTTCACAGAAACAGGATCTGAGGCTCAACTGATCATCCTGCCTTGGCCTTCCAAAGTGCTGGGATAACAGGCATGTGCCACCATGCCTGGCCTTGTGTTGTTTCTAACAAGATGTTTGCCATCTTTTTTTTTTTTTTTTTTGAGAAAGAGTCTCACTCTGTTGCCCAGGCTGGAGTGCAATGGCGCCATCTCAGCTCACTGCAACTTCCGTCTCCCAGGTTCAAGCGATTCTCCCTGCCTCAGCCTCCTGAGTAGCTGGGGTTACAGATGTGTGCCACCATGCCCTGCTATTTTTTGTATTTTTAGTAGAGACGGGGTTTTGCCATATTGCCCAGGCTGTTCTTGAACTCCTGGGCTCAAGTGATCATCCTGCATCAGCCTCCCAAAGTGCTGGATTACAGGTGTGAGCCACCACGCTCAGCCTATTTTCATCTTTGTTTCTCTCTGTATAATGTTCTTTTCCCTTTGGTAACTTTTCAGATATTCTCTTTGTCACTGGTTTGGGACAATTTGATTATGATGTGCTTCAGTGTGTCATCCTCATGTCTCTTGTGCTGGAGGTTCATTGGTTCTTAGATCTCTGGATTTACAGTTTTTCTCAAATTTAAATTTTTTCAGCCACAATTTTTTCAAATATTTTTTTCTTCTACTCCTCCCAACCTTCTTCAGGAACTCCAATTACAAATATATTAGTCCTGTTGGTGCTGATTTTCTGTTCAATTTTTTTCATTGTTTTCTCCACTTTCTATTTTTGATAGTTTCTACTGTTACATCTTCCAGTTGACTAATCCTTTTTTGTATAATATCTATTCTATTTTAAATGCCATTTAGTATATTTTTCATCTCAGACATTGTATTTTTCATCTCTAGAAGTTCAAGCTGGATCTTCCATGTCTCTACTTCCATGTTCTAGCTTCCCTTTACCTTCTTCTTGTGGAATGTTATCATTACAATAACTGTTTTAATATCGTTTCCTACTAATTCTGTCTTATTTGCCATTTCTGTTTCTATTGATCAAGTTTTCTTCTCATTATTGAGACATTTTCTTTTTCTTCACATGCCTGGTAATTTTCAGCTGGATGACAGACAACGTGAAATGTATCTTATTGTCTGTTTGATATTGTTGGGTTCCTATAAATATTATTAAGCTATGTTCTAAGATGTAGTTAAATTATCTGGAAAGATTTTGGCTCTTTGAGGGTTTTCTTTGAGGTCTTGTTAAGTAGGACCTTAGCAGCCTCGGCCTAGATCTAATCTTCCACACTACTGAGGCATTTCTTTTCTGAGTGTTCCATCCAATGGTCTGGGAAGTATAAGATTTGTCCACTGTTGCTGGTGGGAACACCAAATATGTCTGGTTCTGTGGGAGGTTCAAGCATTCTTCTTTCTGTTTCCTTCAGGTATTCCCACCCACCCCCCAACTTGTAGTTCACACACATACATGTGCTTGTCAGTATTTAGCTGAAGACTCTGGAGCTTTTATGTTTTGTGACTTTGTCCTCTTCATGCCCTGAATACTCTGCCCTGCGGAGTTTATCTGAGCTTCTTTAGTCTCCCTGGACTCCCAGCTTCATCTCCTCAACTCAGGACCATCACCAGGCTCAGCCTGTGTTCTCCCTCCTTCAGCTGTGGCCTAGAAATGGATTGCCTTCTGGTCACCGCACCTGGGCAGTCCAGAGTCACAAGAAACCCCAGGCCATGTGGCAGAATGCCCACTGTCCCCACCTCAGCACACTGTACTCTCTCCATCCAGTGCTAGCTGCAACCACCCTGTCTCACAGTCCATAATTCTAGCCAGAGACCAAGCTTTCTGCAGTGCCTTGGCTGGGGCTCACAGATAAGGATGGCCAAGCAGTGCTCCCAGAAGCCAGCAGATGCCATCAATCAGTTTTACATCCTCCAGGCACTGAGAATCTCTGGACACCTGAAGTGTCCTGTTGCCAGAGCTGAACTCTCAAGTGAAGACTCCAGAAGGCCCTGAAATGTGGGCAGGCTCCCATCATTGCCTGTCTGTGGCCTCAAGGACACAGACTCTTTCCATGGCTGGTGAGATATCCAGCACACTGGGGCCTCTGGAAAGCCCCTTTTCAATTTTAGGCCTTAGCTGAGCTCTCCATTTACCTCAGGCCAGGCAGTGCACATTATGGGGGACACCGCTGGGTGCTGGGATGAGAATGGCACTTGGCATGTGAGCTAGGATTGAGAGCCCACCACTCTCTTCCTCAGCCAGGCGGTGGCCAGTTACCATCTCTGGCTTCTGTCCCCTTACCAGCCTCCTCTGCTACAATTGCATTTCTGACAGGCAGTGGATCAGAGAAGCACCGGTAGTTGAGGACCGTGTGGAGAACCACTACTGGCCAAGCATTCCCAACCTGACAGCAGAACAGAAGTACAGCAGTGCTGAGGTGAACTTGACAGAGAACTTTGAGACCATGAAGGCAACCAACACTTCCAACTCATCACAACCTGCCTCTCCCATAGATTTATTGTAGAAGAACTCAACCATCTCCGTGTCAACAAGAAATCGTCCTCACTCTAAACCATCACCCTTGGATTTAGATCATGGGGCTGTCCTGTCTTTAGTATGGAACTGAAAAGCTTTAATTTCCACAAAAATGTAAGGTTTTGGGCTACAGCCTTATTAAAACAAACAAATATGAGCATAGTGGTCTACAGATGGAATATGTGGGGCTCTAAACAAACTGCGACTTGAAAGTATAATCATTGTCTTTTTGTTTGTTTCTTTAGCCTGGTAGGACAATGTCAGAAATTTCCTTGGTCATACGGAATATAAAACATAGTTTGAACAAAAGCAGCAATAAAGCTACAAACTATTTTTTGGTGTATTTGCTTAAGTATAAGATAGCTGATTGGGGCTTTATCATGTAACGTTAGTTTGCTTAGATTTCATGGTTTATACAACTTGAATTGTGAATAAATATATGGCTGATTCATATTGTAATTAAACTGCACATTGACATAAACTGTACATTAAAAGTTGCTGCACATTGTCATCCAAAATAATACTTAAGTAAAACCAAAAATTCTATAAATCAATGTCAAGGAATGTAACGTAAAATAAAAATACAGTTAACATGGAATTGCAAAACTAGAATGGGAGAAATATTTACCCATAAAATCTTGTTTGGAACATTGATATAACACTAGAAAAGAATTTTTCTAAATAACTACAATGTTCAACTGTGACTGTGCATGTGTGAAGACCAGGCATTTTGAATCATTGCCCTGTGGTGTGTGGTGGTACAATTTTACAGAAATGCACTACAATAATTAATAAAATTCTCTAATGGGTAGACTTTAATGAATAAGTATTTACACTATAAATATCTATAATATTGGTGCTATTATTTCACAAATTAAAAAAGCTGTATTACAGCCTTTAAAAGCAAATAATAGCCTTACATTTGTAAATAAAGAAAAAAATATAAATTTTATGAAATACGGTTAAGAATAATTGATAAAATAAAAATTGGGGCACAAATTATAGTTTGGATAGAGGTTGAAAAAAGTGGATGAAAATTTTAATGAGCCCTTTTTGCCTGCACTAAACTTAATCTTATAGGTAAACATTATAATATATATAGGGTACCCACTAGCTATCTAATTTACTTTTTACACAATGTATAAATCCTAGCCTATTGGTCTTAATATTTGAACCTAAAATAACACACAAACATACAAGAGAACAAAATAAGGAAGAAGTGTACGGAGAGAGTGACATTATCAAAGTGGTGGAATAGGGGGTCCCTAATTTTGTATTCCCCTGCAGCAATAAAAACTAGTCAGCCATCCATCAAGCAAAGTAACTTTATGAGAGATCCAGGCACTGTGGCTCATGACAGTAATCTCCTCCATTCAGGAGCCTGAGGTGGGAGGACTGCCAGGCCAGGAGTTCAAGAACAGCCTGGGCAATATAGTGAGCTTTGGGATACAGGGCATTATGAAACATTGCTAAAACCCAAGATCGAAAAGGGTCATTTTGAGAAGGCAGGGCTTTTGGTTAATAAGGTGTCATATTATCCAAAGCAATCTGTAAGCTAACTCAAATCCGTATCAAAATCCCTGTCCCACTTTTTATAGTAATAGAAAATGCAAGCCTACAATGTAGGCTGAATGACCAAGCCAATCATGAGGAATAAGAAAAAAGCTGGGGACATCATACTCGTGACTCACATGAAACAGTTCAAAAGTCACTCTTTGTAGATAACCTGGGGAAAACCTGCTAGGTACTCAGTGGGAGCCACACTCACCCACATATCTGCTATTAGACCCAGCATATAGCAGAACCTACCCTAGTGCCTGCTCCACAAAACAAAGCCCTGAAGATAATCCAGCCTGCTCAAAAACATGACATAACTCACAACCACACGTGCTCCTGGTAACAAGCCCACTAAAGGTAAAACCCACTTCAGATTCGGCAGCCAACTTGTGACGCAGCTACAAGCCTTTTTACTGCAAACCCAGTAAAGATCTCATCAGCCTTGAGACCCAACAGATGAAGATCTTTACCTACTAAAACCAGTTTATAAAAATGAACAGAGGTGGCTGGGCACGGTGGCTCACACCTGTAATCCCAGCACTTTGGGAGGCCTAGGTGGGTGAACCATGAGGTCAGGAGTTCAAGTCCAGCCTGGCCAAGATGGCGAAACACTGTCTCTAATAAAAATACAAAAATTAGCCAGGCATGATGGTTGGCGCCTGTAATCCCAGCTACTTGGGATGCTGAGGTAGAGAATTGCTTGAACCCAGGAGGCGGAGGTTGCAGTGAGCCAAGATCGTGCCACAGCACTCCAGCCTGTGTGACAGAGTGAGACTCCGTCTCAAAAACAAAACAACAACAACAACAACAAAAATGAAAACAGGTGTTTGCTCCTTCAAATGTGCAAATACCAATGCAAGTCTACATTATGCCCATTCTAACGGTTCTATTTTAACATAGAACTGGAAGTCCTACATAGAATAATTAAGTCCTACATCAAATAATTAAGCAAGAAAGGCTAAAAGATCCATACTGAAAAGAAGAAATAACGTCACTGTCTGTAGATGACATAATGTTATATATAAAAAACATAAATAGTACATTTAAATAATGCATTTAATGCATCTATATATAAATAGTGTATCTAATAAATGCACTCAGTAAAGAAGCGGAATATACAATTAGCATACACATATCAGTTTTGTTTCTATATGCTAGCGACAAACCAGTAAAATAGAAAAAAAAATCTCATTTACAAGAGCAACAAAATAATAGATTTCTTAGCAATAAATTTAACCAATGTGGTGAAAGATCTTTACAATAAAAAATAAAATATATTGATAAAAAATAAAGAAGATACAAATAAATGTAAATATATTACATATTTATGGATTAGAAGAATATTGTCTAAGTGCCATATTATCCAAAGCAATCTGTAGATTAATTCAACTTCCTATCAAAATTCCTGTGCCACTTTTTACAGTAATAGAAAATAAAGTCTGCAAAGTATATAAACCTATAAGAAATATTGAATGTCCAAAGCAATCATGAAGAATAAAACGAAATCTGGGGACATTATACTTTATTATTTAAAACTACATTTCAAGACTACAGTAAACGTAATAGAATGGAATGTTTATAGGAACAAACACAAAAACCAATGGAACAGAATACAGAGCCCAGAAGTAAATCTATGCACCTAAAGTTAATCTTTGACAAGGGCACTATGAATACGCAATACAAAAAGTGTAGCCTTTTCAATACTTAGTGCTGAGAAAACTGGATACTCGCAAGCACAATAATAAAACTTGGTCATATTTCCTACACCAGACACAAAAATTGACTTAAAATAAAGACTTAAATTTAATACATAAATCCTTAAAAGAAAATTTTTAGAAAAGCATATGAAAAGCATCCATGATACTGGCCTTGGCAATTTTTTTTTTAAATATGATATCAAAAGTATAGCAATAAAACAAGACACAAAATTGTAGTGTATTAAACTATTGTGTACAGCAAAAAATAAGAAAACATTTAAGATGGGATAAAACATTTGCAAACCATATATGATAAGAGGTTAGTATTCAAAATATAGCAGAAACTCATACAAATCAGAAGCTAAACAATAGTAATTATAATACCCAACTAAAAAATAGCAAAAGACTAAACTTTTTTTATTATTATTATACTTTAACTTTTAGGGTACAGACGCACAACGTGCAGGTTTTTTACATATGTATACATGTGACATGTTGGTTTGCTGCACCCATTAACTCGTCATTCAGCATTAGGTATATCTCCTAATGCTATCCTTCCCCCCTCCCCCACCTCACAACAGGACCTGGTGTGTGATGTTCCCTTTCCTGTTTCCATGTATTCTCATTGTTCAATTCCCACCTATAAGTGAGAGCATGCAGTGTTTGGTTTTTTGTCCTTGTGATAGTTTGCTGAGAATGATGGTTTCCAGCTTCATCCATGTCCCTACAAAGGACATGAACTCATCCTTTTTTATGGCTGCATAGTATTCCATGGTGCATATGTGCCACATTTTCTTAATCCAGTCTATCATTGTTGGACATTTGTGTTGGTTCCAAGTCCTTGCTACTGTGAATAATGTCTCAATAAACATACGTGTGCATGTGTCTTTATAGCAGCATGATTTATAGTCCTTTGGGTATATACCCAGTAATGGGATGGCTGGGTCAAATGGTATTTCTAGTTCTAGATCCCTAAGGGATCGCCACACTGACTTCCACAATGGTCGAACTAGTTTACAGTCCCAACAGTGTAAAAATGTTCCTATTTCTCCACATCCTCTCCAGCACCTGTCATTTCCTGACTTTTTAATGATCGCCAACCTAACTGGTGTGAGATGGTATCTCATTGAGGTTTTGATTTGCATTTCTCTGACGGGCAGTGATGGTGAGTATTTTTTCATGTGTTTTTTGGCTGCATAAATGTCTTCTTTTGAGAAGTGTCTTTTCATATCCTTCACCCACTTGTTGATGGGGTTGTTTGTTTTTTTCTTGTTAATTTGTTTGAGTTCATTGTAGATTCTGGATATTAGCCTTTTGTCAGATGAGTAGATTGCAAAAAATTTCTCCCATTCCATATTTTGCCTGTTCACTCTGATGGTGGTTTCTTCTGTGTAGACGCTCTTTAGTTTAATTAGATCCCATTTGTCAATTTTGGCTTTTGTAGCCATTGCTTTTGGTGTTTTAGACATGAAGTCCTTGCCCATGCCTATGTCCTGAATGGTATTGCCTAGGTCTAATTCTAGAGTTTTTATGGTTTTAGCTCTAACATTTAAGTCTTTAATCCATCTTGAATTAATTTTTGTATAAGGTGTAAGGAAAGGATCCAGTTTCAGCTTTCTACATATGGCTAGCCAGTTTTTCCAGCACCATTTATTAAATGGGGAATCCTTTCCCCATTACTTGTTTTTGTCAGGTTTGTCAAAGATCAGATAGTTGTACATATGCGGCATTATTTCTGAGGGCTCTGTTCTGTTCCATTGGTCTATATCTCTGTTTTGTTACCAGTATCATGCTGTTTTGGTTACTGTAGCCTTGTAGTATAGTTTGAAGTCAGGTAGTGTGATGCCTCCAGCTTTGTTCTTTTGGCTCAGGATTGACTTGGTGATGCAGTCTCTTTTTTGGTTCCATATGAACTTTAAAGTAGTTTTTTTTCCAATTCTGTGAAGAAAGTCATTGGAAGCTTGATGGGGATGGCATTGAATCTATAAATTACCTGGGGCAGTATGGCCATTTTCACAATATTGATTCTTCCTACGCACGAGCATGGAATGTTCTTCCATTTGTTTGTATCCTCTTTTATTTCATTGAGCAGTGGTTTGCAGTTCTCCTTGAAGAGGTCCTTCACATCCTTTGTAAGTTGGATTCCTAGGTATTTTATCCTCTTTAAAGCAATTTTGAATGGGAGTTCCCTTATGATTTGGCTCTCTGTTTGTCTGTTATTGGTGTATAAGAATGCTTGTGATTTTTGCACAACGATTTTGTATCCTTAGACTTTGCTGAAGTTGCTTATCAGCTTAAGGAGATTTTGGGCTGAGACAATGGGGTTTTCCAGATATACAATCATGTCAGCAGCAAACAGGAGCAATTTGACTTCCTCTTTTCCTAATTGAATGCCTTTTATTCCCTTCTCCTGCCTGATTGCACTGGCCAGAACTTCCAACACTATGTTGAATAGGAGTGGTGAGAGAGTGCATCCCTGTCTTGTGCCAGTATTTCAAAGGGAATGCTTCCAGTTTTTGTCCATTCAGTATGATAGTGGCTGTGGGTTTGTCATAGATAGCTCTTATTATTTTGAGATACGTCCCATCAATACCTAGTTTATTGAGAGGTTTTAGCATGAAGTGTTGTTGAATTTTGTCAAAGGCCTTTTCTGCATCTATTGAGATAATCTTGTAGTTTTTGGCTTTGATTCTGTTCATATGCTAGATTACATTTATTGATTTTTCTATGTTGAACCAGTCTTGTATCCCCAGGGATAAACCCTCTTGATCATGGTGGATAAGTTTTTTGATGTGTTGCTGGATTCAGTTTGCCAGTATTTTATTGAGGATTTTTGCATCAATATTCATCAAGGATATTGGTCTAAAATTGTCTTTTTTTGTTGTGTCTCTGCCCAGCTTTGGTATCAGAATGATGCTGACCTCGTAAAATGAGTTAGGGAGGATTCCCTCTTTTTCTATTGATTGGAATAATTTCAGAAGGAATGGTACCAGTTCCTCCTTGTACCTCTGGTAGAATTCGGCTGTGAATCCATCTGGTCCTGGACTTTTTTTTTTTTTTTTGGTAAGCTATTAATTATTGCATCAATTTCAGAGCCTGTTATTGGTTTATTCAGAGATTCAACTTCTTCCTGGTTTAGCCTTGGGAGAGTGTATGTGTCGAGGAATTTATCCACTTCTTCTACATTTTCTAGTTTATTTATGTAGAGTTCTTTATAGTATTCTCTGACGGTAGTTTGTATTTCTGTGGGATCAGTCGTGATATCCCCTTTGTCATTTTTTATTGCGTCTATTTGATTCATCTCTCTTTTCTTCTTTATTAGTCTTGCTAGCGGTCTATCAATTTTGTTGATCTTTTCAAAAAAACAGCTCCTGAATTCATTGATTTTTTGAAGGGTTTTTTGTGGCTCTATTTCCTTCAGTTCTGCTCTGATCTTTGTTATTTCTTGACTTCTACTAGCTTTTGAATGTGTTTGCTCTTGCTTCTCTAGTTCTTTTAATTGTGATGTTAAGGTGTCAATTTTAGATCTTTCCTGCTTTCTCTTGTGGACATTTAGTGCTATAAATTTCCCTCTACACATTGCTTTGAATGTGTCCCAGAGATTCTGGAATGTTTTATCTTTGTTCTCGTTGCTTTCAAAGAATATCTTTATTTCTGCCTTCATTTCGTTATGTACCCTGTAGTCATTCAGGAGTAGGTTCTTCAGTTTCCATGTAGTGGAGCAGTTTTGAGTGAATCTCTTAATACTGAGTTCTAGTTTGATTGCATTGTGGTCTGAGAGAGTTTGTTATGATTTCTTTTTTTTTTTTTTACATTTGCTGAGGAGTGCTTTACTTTCAACTATGTGGTCAATTTTGGAATATGTGTGGTGTGGTGCTGAAAATAGTGTATATTCTGTTGATTTGGGATGGAGAGTTCTGTAGATGCCTCTTAGGTCCGCTTGGTGCAGAGCTGAGTTCAATTCCTGGATATCCTTGTTAACATTCTGTTGTGTTGGTCTGTCTAATGTTGACAGTGGGGTGTTAAAGTCTCCGATTACTATTGTGTGGTAGTCTAAGTCTCTTTGTAGTTCACTAAGGACTTGCTTTATGAATCTGGATGCTCCTGTATTGGGTGCATATATATTTATGATAGTTAGTTCTTCTTGTTGAATTGATCGCTTTACCATTATGTAATGGCCTTCTTTGTCTCTTTTGATCTTTGTTGGTTTAATGTCTGTTTTATCTGAGACTAGGATTGCAACCCCTGCCTTTCTTTCTTTTCCATTTGCTTGGTAGATGTTCTTCTATCCCTTTATGATGAGCCTGTGTGTGTCTCTGCACATGAGATGTGTTTCCTGAATAGAGCACACTGATGAGTCTTGACTCTTTATCCAATTTGCCAGTCTGTGCCTTTTAATTTGAGCATTTAGCCCATTTCCATTTAAGGTTAGTATTGTTAAGTGTGAATTTGATCCTGTCATTATGATGTTAGCTGGTTATTTTGCTCATTAGTTGATGCAGTTTCTTCCTAGCCTCGATGATCTTTACAATTTGGCATGTTTTTGCAGTGGCTGGTACCAGTTTTACCTTTCCATGTTTAGTGCTTCCTTCAGGAGCTCTTTTATTGCAGGTCTGATGGTGACAAAATCTCTCAGCATTTGTTTGTCTGTAAAGGATTTTATTTTTCCTTCACTTATGAAGCTTAGTTTGGCTGGATATGAAATTCTGGGTTGAAAATTCTTTTCTTTAAGAATGTTGAATATTGGCCCCCACTCTCTTCTGGCTTGTAGAGTTTCTGGTGAGAGATCAGCTGTTAGTCTGATGGGCTTCCCTTTGTGGGTAACCCGACCTATCTCTCTGGCTGTCCTTAACATCTTTTCCTTCATTTCAACTTTGGTGAATCTGACAATGATGTGTCTTGGAGTTGCTCCTCTTGAGGAGTATCTTTGTGGTGTTCTCTGTATTTCCTGAATGTGAATGTTGGCTTGCCTTACTAGATTGGGGAAGTTCTCCTGGATAATATCCTGCTGATTGTTTTCCAACATGGTTCCATTCTCCCCGTCACTTTCAGGTACACCAATTAGACATAGATTTGGTCTTTTCACATAGTCCCATATTTCTTGGAAGCTTTGTTTGTTTCTTTTTATTCTTTTTTCCCTAAACTTCTCTTCATGCTTCATTTCATTCATTTCATCTTTCTTCGCTGATACCCTTTCTTCCAGTTGATCGTATCGGCTCCTGAGGCTTGTGCATTCATCACATATTTCTTGTGTCATGGTTTTCAGCTCCATCAGGTCCTTTAAGGACTCCTCTGCATTGGTTATTCTAGTAAGCCATTCATCTAATTTTTTTCAAAGTTTTTAACTTCTTTGCCATTCGTTTGAACTTCCTCCTTTAGCTCAGAGTAGTTTGATCTTCTGAAGCCTTCCTCTCTCAACTCATCAAAGTCATTCTCCATCAAGATTTGTTCCGTTGCTGGTGAGGAGCTGCATTCCTTTGGAGGAGGAGAGATGCTATGATGTTTAGAGTTTCCAGTTTTTCTGCTCTGTTTTTTTTCCCATCTTTGTGGTTTTATCTACCTTTGGTCTTTGATGATGGTGATGTACAGGTGGGTTTTTGGCATGGATGTCCTTTCTGTTTGTTAGTTTTCCTTCTAACAGTCAGGACCGTCAGCTGCAAGTCTGTTGGACTTTACTGGAGGTCCACTCCAGACCCTGTTTACCTGGGTATCAGTAGCAGTGGCTGCAGAACAGCAGATATTGGTGAACTGCAAATGCTGCTGCCTGATGGTTCCTCTGGAAGTTTTGTCTCAGAGGTGTACCCGGCCATGTGATGTGTCAGTCCACCCCTACTGGGGGGTGCCTCCCAGTTAGGCTACTCGGGGGTCAGGGACCCACTTGAGGATGCAGTCTGCCCATTCTCAGATCTCAAGCTGTGTGCTCGGAGAACCACTACTCTCTTCAAAGCTGTGGGACAGGGACATTTATGTCTGCAGAGGATATTGCTGTCTTTTGTTTGTCTGTGCCCTGCCCACAGAGGTGGAGCCTACAGAGGCAGGCAGGCCTCCTTGAGCTGTGGTGGCTCCACCTAGTTCGAGCTTCCCGGCTGCTTTGTTTACCTACTCAAGCCTGAGCAATGGTGGACGCCCCTCCCCCAGCCACACTGCCACCTTGCAGTTTGATCTCAGACTGCTGTGCTAGCAATGAGCAAGGCTCCATGGGCATAGGACCCTCCGAGCCATGTGCAGGATATAATATCCTGGTGTGCTGTTTGTGAAGCTGGTTGTACAAGTTCAGTATTAGGGTGAGAGTGACCCGATTTTCCAGGTGCCATCTGTCACCCCTTTCTTTGACTAGGAAAGGGAATTCCCTGACCCCTTGTTCTTCCCAGATGAGACGATGCCTCACCCTGCTTTGGCTCATGCACAGTGCACTGTACCCACTGTCCTGCACCCACTGACCGGCACTCGCCAGTTACATTAGCCTGGTACCTTAGTTGGAAATGCAGAAATCACCCATCTTCTGCATCACTCACGCTGGGAGCTGTAGATGGGAGCTGTTCCTCTTCGGCCCTCTTGGCTCCACTGACCAAGACTAAATATTTTTTACAAACATATTCAAATGGCCAACAGGTGTGTAGAAAGATGCTAAACATTACCATTCATGAGAAAATTGCAAATCAAAGGATACCAGTTTACAGCAGTTGGAATGGCTAATATCAAAAAAAGAAACATGACAAGTGTTAACAAGGATGTTACCAAATATTTCTGTACATTCTTAATGAGTTGCAAACTGGAAGAGTCATTATGAAAATTAGTATGCAGGTTATTTTAAAAAATAGAACTATCGTACAATCCCGAAATTCCACTTCTGTCTATAAACAAAATAAAATCAGCATCTCAAAAATTATCTGCACCCTTGTATTCAATGCAGTATTATTCACAACTGTCAAGGGTATTTTTTTTTTAAATGACTTATCTGTAGATGCTGAATGGATAAGGAAAATGTGGTATAAATAGACAACTGAATATTATTCACCCATAAAAAAGAATGAAATTCTGCTATTTCAACAACATGAATGGACCTGGGTACATTATGCTATGCAAAATAAGCCAGGCACAGAAGGACAAACACTGTACGTTCTCACTTAAATGGAGAATTTAAAAAGCCTGAACTCATAGAAGCAGAGAGTACAATGGTAATGACCAGGCCTGGAGGTAGAAAAAATGATGAGGTGTTCAGAGTACAAACTTTCAGTTATAAGATAAATAAGTTTTGGGGGTCTAATGTATAGCTTTAAGATGTAGTTAATAACAGTGTTTTGTATGCTTAAAATTTGCTGCAACAGTAGGAGACCTCAAATGCTCTCACTACAAAAAACATAACCATGTAAGGTGACATAAATATTCATCAACTTAATTGTATTAAACATTTTACAATATATATACCTATCAAACTTTTATAATATACACAATACATAATTATGCAATTTTTATTGGTCAAAAAATTAATGTTATGTACACATGCATATATTCACATAAGTGTGTATATACACATATATAAAACATATATGTATATATCAATTACATATGTATATACTTGTGTGTGTGTATATGTGTATATATATATATATACATATCAATGACAAAATCCTAGTAAGCTTCAAACTAAACAAGAGAAAACTATAAAATGATAACTATTTAAAAATCAAGAAAAAAATGGTTATTTAATATGTGCTCAGCAATATTCTCAGTTCCTCAGTGGCAAAGTACATGTTTTAAATGTAGAAAGTAGATACATTAAACCATATTACAGTTTAGGAATTATGGCACAGAGTGTTTACAGTATTAGCCTCAATACATACCAAAAACTTAAAATTTTGAAGTAAAATAACATTTGGTTTTATTATATGGGGCAGAGGCTTATTGTTCTGATTAAATTATTGAGTATGAATTTCTGTAGAATCACATTTGAAACCTTCACAGGATATGAAATTATAAAGCAGAAAACATACGACATCTGGATGTGGTGTTTCTGGGATTTCTAAACCAAATCCCAATATCTCCACTACTCTCACACATTTTAGACAAGACTCAAAATGGAAATTAGAAAATGTTTAACATAGAGTTCGTTAAAAATCACAGACGGCCCCATGTCCTCAAAAGCAATAAAAGAGCAAGAGCCAGGTCCTCCAGTCCCTTGTAAGCCATGCAAAGGGCTTTGATTTTCTTTGTAACCTAGAAGAATGATCGTTGAAGGGGAAGTTAAGTCCTAGAAAATTGAAGAGCATGGGGCAGAAGATATTTGTCTCTAATGAAAGCAAGAGAAAGAAATCAGGGCTTCTCAGAAAAGATTTCCATTGGAGCATAGCTTCGCAAACCACACTTTAAGATCTGGCTTTTTCCTTGACCTTTGGTCATCTCATCTGTGTCATCTGCCTTATTCACTCCCACCTATTTGGATGTTTGGCTACTATCTTCTGTCTCCTCACACTCTGGGGCTTTTTCTTTTACTCAATGTAGGTGATCAGGTTTAGCTTAGAGAACAGCCAAGGACTCTGTATTAGAAAAAGTAATATGACTTATGCTGTGATTTTCCAGTTACTACTTAGTACTGTGCTCGGTGGAAAAAAACAGAACATTATAAAAGAGTCTAACAATGTAATACCAAATACTATTTCCTCACAGAAATGTTATGATATTTAAAAACTTTTCTAAATTTGTGGGTCCTTAGCTCCATGACCCAGTGCTGCTGAATGAAAACTTCGTGGTGGTTGGCTGGGCCTGGTGACTCACACCGCTGATCACAGCACTTTGAGAGGCCAAGACAGGCAAATAACTTGAGCCCAGGAGTTTGAGGCCAGCCTTGGAAACATCGCGAGACCTAGTCTACGGGTTGAGGGTGGGGAGGAGGGGGAAAGGTGGTGGTAATGGGAGGTGGTAATGCGATTATAAGGTGTGGGCAACCATATTTTGTGCCTCTAAATTTGTGGAGTTACCACTAATCTAAAATTAAGGATACAGATCAGCTGAAGAAAGAAAAAGATTTATGTCGAGATGAAACCTCCTCGTGGGGGTCTGCAGCTGCAATACCGCCAGCTGGCAGCATCCCACCTCTTTCGCCTGGCTGCAGCCCCACCAGGAGCCCGGCTCCAGCCGGGGCACTGCAGCATGTACTAGACCTGGAAGGCGCAGGCGCGGGTTTCCTGCCCTCCGGGGTGTCTTCCTGCTCCCAGGACCCCAGGCAACTCAATTCATTCATCAAGCGCCCCCGCAACCATCCAAGTTGGGGCAGCAGGTCCCACAGTTGCCAGCCAAGACCTCCGCTCCAGAACCCGTGGGCTGCTTTCCCCGGGGGAAGGACATTGTCTTCGCCAGCCACGAAGAAATCCGTCCCTGTGCACCCTGTTTCCCATTGCCACCAACTTCGTGTAAACTTTAGTCCCGAGGACACGAGAGAGACCCAGACCTGGCCCCGTGGACAAGCTCGGTGCCACGGCTTCCACCAGATGGGCGGGTGCACTCTACAAATCTCGGGGCCCACCGCACCAGGGAGACAAGAAGAAGCAAACACAGGAAGGACCCTATGAAACGCACCCCCAAAGAAACCAACCAATCCAAGAAAAAAAAAAAAAAACACTTCTCAGGGCTCAGTTGGTTTTCCCGCGTGGGCGGCCCTGACCCCCTGTTCTAGCCTGGCCCAAACACCCTCCACCTCACCCTGGCCTGCTCAAAGCGCCCTGTCTACCTGAGCAGAGCCTCCCTCTCCAAGGCTTTGTCTCTCTCACTCTACAACTCCCTCACCCTCTCCCTTTCTCTACTTCCCCCTCCAACCCTCGCTCTTCTGTCACCTTCTGTCTCTCTCCCCATCCACTTTTCTCTCTCTCCCCCCATTTGTATCTCTCCATCCCGGTCTCCCTAGCTCTCTTTCAAGCTGTGTCTGTGTCTTGGTCTGTATGTCCTTGTGTGTGTGTCCATGTGTGTCCGTGTGCATGTTTCCGTGTGTGTGTCTTTGTGTGTCTGTGTGTGTGTGTCTGTGTGTGTGTCCATGTGTGCCTGTGTGCATGCACTAGTGTGTATCTGTGTGTGTGCCGTGCTGGGTTTGCTCGTGGTAGTGGTGGGGTGTGTCTGGGTGTCCGTCAGCCCCTGTTTCCCGGGATCAGGCTGCCGAGGCTCTAGTGCCAGCGCGGGGCAAAGCAGGGCCTTCCTGTCCCGTTGGCCACGGGCGGGTCCTCGTCGGGACAAGCGACGATGGGGAGCTCGCAAGCCGGGGGAAAGGCCTGGAGTGTCAGCAAAAGGGAGGCGGCCTGGTGGGCCTGTAGCCTGGGCAGGGGACTGAGGCATCACGGTCTGATGACGGATTCCTGTTTCCTGCAACATGGGGAGTCTCCAAAATGGCCTGTTTGGAAACGAAAGGAGAGCAAAGACACGATGCTGCTTTTCCACGCTTTGCTGGGGGTTTCTGTGTCCCTACAGAGCTCGGGAAACAAACAGTCAACATGGTCACGCTTTCGGGGGCCAGAGACACGTGAGCAGCAGGCCCACTTGCAGAGGGCAAAGGAACGTGGAATCCGAAATCATGGTTCACTCGGCTTGAGTGTGACTCCTGTGTGGATGGGAGTATCTGCCTCGCGCTCTGTTGCAGGCTCAGCGTGGGGATATGTCATCTGTGAACCATGTGGATGAAAAACGGACAACCATTCGAGTCTCGGCTCTGTTCTTTGGGGAATTCGCTCATTCCTTGGGAGGCGGAATTCCTCTGAATCGCTCCCGGATGAAGTAACCCAGGCTGGCGATCCAGAGGGCCGGTGAGCACACCGCTGGCCGAGGCGGCTGTGGGCTGAGCACTCAGCCTGCACTGGGCACCCAACATTTTCCCGGAGTTCGAGGTCCTGCTGGGCCTGGAGGCAGAAGACCGCTTTTCTCTTTGCCTTCCCTTCTCTGTTTCTTGCTCCTTTTCTCCCTCTGTCCATCCTTCCCTCTGTTCTTCCTTCTCTCCCTCTCTCCCTCCCTGTCTCCCTCCCTCCCTCTGTTCTTCTCTCCTTCCCTCTCTCCCACCATCCATACCTCCCTTTCTCCCTCTTTCCCTCCCTCCCTTCCTCTCTTTTTCTTTCCCTCCCTCCCTCCATCCCTTCCAAGGTCCGTCCTTTCATCTGTCTTTTCCTCCCTCTGTCCCTCTCTCTCACTTTGTCTCCGTTCCTTTCCCCATCTCTGCCTGGCTTCCCTCCCACCTAGAAAGGGAAGAACCACGGTTTGCGTGAGATCTCGGGGTCTACATTTAGTTCCCGGGCGCTTCACGTGATGCCGAGGAGGATGGCGGGGCACGGGTGGGCGACGGTGGGTGGAGCGGGGAGGTAGTGGAGTTGAGCTGCGGAAAGGAGAGCAGGCCTGGCCGCTGCCCGGGTCGGTATTTCCCGGGGTGGAGGACTCCACCTACACCACTGAAGAACGCGGGGTAGGGGGGGGTGTACTGTGTGGGGGTGCGGGGGAAGGGATGAGAGCCCTGCCTGGGCTGGCCCCAAACCCTAGCCGGCTGCCCGCGAACCCGCACATGCGCAGTAGACGGCCCATCTCTGAGTACCTGGGCTGGCTCTGAAATCCTTGGGATGCTCAGGAAAGAATGACAGCCCTCCTTTCTGTGGAGTCTCTCACTGGACTTGGACTCAGGGATCCTAGACAGGTCAGCTGGAAGGGAAGACACAGGTCTCCATACCGAGCCAGAGGTTCACCGCGAAAGAGGAGCCACCGACCTGCCCCCACCCGGTCCCAACCCCGCGTCCTAAAGCTCCTCCAACTGAGCCGAGTGTTATTCCTGGCTGAGGAGTGGTTCCAGAAAAGCAGGCTCTTCCAAGTCCTTCAAATCCCTCAGCGGCTTCATTGCTAGGAAAGGTTGTGTCCTTTGCTGAAATTCTGGGGTAGACAGGAGCTCATATAACAGGGTGGATGCGAGTACAGATGAAGACTCCAGCTCCTGGAGCGGTTGGGAGGGTGCCTGGATGGCTTACATCTGCTTCTGACACGTAGAGGCCTCCATGGGCACGAGCTGCGGAGGTACATGTGCCTCGGCTTCGCGTTCCCACGTGCCCTGGCGACCTGTGGACCCTGGCCCCAGCCCCAATATGGACTCATGTGGGACGTGTGCGGCGCAAGCACACCTTGCCCCTGTGACTCAGCCTGAGCGGCCTAAGCTGTCCCATTGAGCACGCACTCAGAAAGCCACCGTACTACGGGTCCTGGTCCTGCTGCCATCTGTTCGGATGCGGAGGTCACCCAGGTGTCTGAGGGTGGGACAGCTCCACTTCCGAAGGAGCCAGGGCAGCAAACCCAAAATCCCCGTGTGCCGCGGTAGGTTGGGAGATTCCTTCTGCCTGCGAAGCCTGGCTGGGGTGCAGCAGAGGGGCGACCCTTGCTGTCTGGCTCACAAAAGCCCCCTGTTCCCCACGCCCTGGCATGGGTGAAGGCGACCAAGGAGGGAGGGTGGCACCCGCTGTGGGCCGCGTTGCACAGGCCGCCTGCTTGCGCGGGTTCCCTGCTACCCTGGCCTGGATGCCTGGACCTTCGATTCTGACACGAAATCTGAATCCTGGACTCCAATAGGCGGGTCTCTCTGGCCAGTTCGGGTACGGGTTCCGCTCAAAGCACGCTGGCAGGGCATCTTTTTCGTTCGGGTTACAAACCAGTCTCCTTCGCCGTCCTCGTCTTCGGGCTTTCGCGGGGAAGGGGCTGTCAGAAGGTGTCGGGAGAGCCATTGCGAGGGCACCTGGCCGGAATTTCACGGACAGACACGGGCAGAGAGAGGCCGGCGGCTCCCGTGGGCCTCAGTTGGCCTCTGTGCTGCAGGCAGGTCCAGGCAGGAGTCCGACCCCGCCAGTGGCCCTTATAAAGACCCACCAGCTTCACGCCTTCATGAATATGCATGAACACCCAAGGGCCCTGGGTAACCTGCCCTCCGAAGGGCCCAGAAACCACAGACACAGGGCCTTGTGTGGTAGGTGAAGGTGGGGCCAGATCAGCTGGGAAAGGGGGGCTTCTGGGACTGGCTGTCTGAGTTCTCCAGAATTCTACAGAAACTGGAAGTTTCTCTCTGGGTTCACACACGATTTCAGGGAGAAACCACCCTGGAAGGGTGGAGTGTGGAACTGAACCTCCATGATAGTCTTGATTTTCCAGGCCCTCTCCGTGAAGCCGGCAATGCCTGTGGGTGTCACCATTGCCGTGATAGTCACACACGCAGGTGTGTGGATCTCATTCATTTTTTTATTTTCATTTTTTATTTCTACCTCTTAAAGTCAATGATAAAGTCATGAGTGTAAAATGAATGCATTTAAAAACATAAAAGATACATTTCAATGACAAGAAATATGCAATGATCATGAAAATCTACTTTACACTTTGCCAAGGTCAAAGAATGAAAGACAATATGGAAAAGCCAATCTTCAAATATATCCTTAACAAAAACTCTCTCCTACATAGTAAAAGCATCATCTAAACAGCAGCTCCAACCGAGAAAAAAAAAACAACAAAAAACAAAACAAAACAAAAAAACAGCAGGGTAGATGGGACAGATAACTTTCCCCAGGTTTTCCAGATAAAAACATGTGGTCACCAGGAATTCAAGGTAACTTCAAAAGCCACATTTAATTCAAAATAAAATGAACACTTCTGACAGATGACAGCAGTATGATACTGACTTTTTTCTTTCCTAGATACAAATGATATGGGGCATTTCTTAACAGTTTAGTAATCGTCTAAGAATAACTGTAGAAATAACCCCAATTCCACCATCTCAGCCACTGGTATAAAACAAATAACCTTCCATTGATACTGTCTTTCACATAACTACAATATCCTCACTTACTTGGAGCAATTTCATGCTTACACATGATCACAAACACTTGTTTTTAGATGTTGTGGAATTATTGGAGCTGAGATTTTTTAAACAATATCTGAATCTTAGCAGAGAGCAAATAATCATTTCACTATACATTGATTGGGCTTCCTTAACCAAATCTCAGCAACTACTATAATAATAATGCTGGTGGTAATCCATGATACTCTCAAATTTTTCCCTTTAAGAAATATATAATCCATGTAACTCTAGCAAATATGTTACATTGCACACTTTCTTAACAAGGAATGGCTGTTTTCAGGTCTTAGTAGGAAAACAAAGAAACAAACAATGGCAGTTACTATCTGTTTTTTATCACTGATAAGCTACAATAAAGCTCAAATATGACAGTTTAATTGTGTGATATTAAGTAAAAAATGAAAACTATTATAGTTTTACCAAAAGAAACACAAAAAATATGGGAAGAAGTCAAATGAGCATGACATAAGTCCCAAAGATTACACTATGATTCTGAACAGGATTTTCCAAACAAAGGGTATCTACATACAATTTCTGTGGATATTTCTTGTAGTAGAAAGATCCAAAGCAAATGTAGGCTCAGCCCTACCTTGTCAAAGATAAATATTCAGATAAACTAGAAGTTCCATCTGCTAAAGTGCATCCGCTGACCAGATCTACCATGGCGCTGCTACTTACAGCCATCTAAGAAAGTGGCCTCACTCATGCTCATTCACTCGTTCTGTGGCCTATCAAGAGTCACACATAACAATGGTTTTGCTTTTCTTTAAAAAAAAACAAATACTTTATACAGTGAACTACAGAAAAAACAATTCTAAATATACTTTTAAAATTCTAGAGAGTTAAGGTAACCTCATTTTTTAAAATACTGAAAATGTAAAGGGTCCATATAAAGAGTTGTATTAAGTACATACTTCCTATTTTAATAATTCACTTGCTGTGCTCTTAAAATCTCTATGAGAGAAGCAGATATTTTACTCGTGTCTTTTGGCAAGAGATTCAAAAGCAAAAGTAGCAGGGCTGTAAAATTTCATAAAATTTGTGGGATTTTAAAAAGCTAAATTACTCAATATTTTGTATTGTTATTGCACTCATATATTGCCCGGAATATATATACAGCAACCCAGCAACAGTGATTGCAACAAAAGTAAGGTAAATAGGTCTACAAAGCATTTGATTTCCTTATTAGATAAGTGAAGTTTTCATAGAGGAAGTGCAAATTCAGATCAGGTTACATAAGCTTAACAATTATTCAAACCTTATATAAAATTAAATCTAACCCTCACCACTACAAATCTGTAAGGAATCACTGTCAGGAATCTACAGGACTTGGCTCATATTTACATTCGACACACACTTAGAAATTTCATAAATGATGAGATGCAGGCCAAGGGGATTCCTCAAAGGGCTCCACCCAAAAGGAAAAGAAAGAGAATTAAACAGAGAATTACCACTTACGTATTTGTGGATAATCAGCTTATTCCTCAGCCTCTAGACAGGGAGGAGGATGAAAAAATGGAAGAAAATAATAAAGAAGAGGAAGAAAAATATCACAGTGAAGCGATGAAGCCAGAGAAGCCACCTCAAAATTTACTGAGAGAAAAAATCATGAAGCTGCCCCTCCCTGAATCTTTAAAAGCTTACTTGACATATTTTAGAGACAAATAACTTAGATCAAGAAGAAAGAATGCCTACTGATAATTCCTTTAGTCTTGAAAATGTAGCATTTGTTAGGAATTAAAAGAATTATTTATTTCATCAGAGCAAATTATAGTGGAAAAAATATCACTTGTTACTGTCAGTAACATAAATGATGTATGAGTGAATAAAAGAATCCCTTTTATAAAATCTATTTTTCTTTAAATCTTGGAAAATTGTTGTTTCACCTCAGAGTGATTTCAAAGTGGAATGTAACAGTAGTCAAGACTTGTGTGCTATAAATCCTTTTCTGATTCCTTACGGATCTTGTTCATTTTCATGTAGAAAACGAGAGCGAAACTACAGAGAAAAGAAAGGCCCGGTGCATCAGGGCCTGAAGAGGGATTCCTGTTTCCTGCAACATGGGGAGTCTCCACTATGGCCTGTTTCCAAACAGGGAAGAAAGGAGAGCGAAGACACGATGCTGTTTTTCCACGGTTCTCTGGAGGTTTCTGTGTCCCCAGAGAGCTCGGGAAACAAACAGTCAACATGGTCACGCTTTCGGGGGCCAGAGATGCATGAGCAACAGGTCCCCTTGCAGAAGGCAAAGGAACGTGGAACCCGAAACCACGCTTCAGTCGGCCTGAGTGTGACTCCTGTGTGGACGAGACTATCCACCTAGCTCTCCGTTGCAGGCTCAACGTGGGGCTATCTCATCTGTGAACCATGTGGATGAAAAATGGACAATCACCCGAGTCTCGGCTCATTGCTCTCTGGGCAATTCCCTCATTCCTTGGGAGACGAAATTCGGCTGAATCGCTCTCGGATGAAGTAACCCAGGCCGGCGATCCAGAGGGCCGGTGAGAGCCCCGCAGGCCGACGCGGCTGTGGGCCGAGCACTTAGCCTGCATTGTGCACCCAACATTTTCCCGGAGTGCAAGATCCTGGTGGTCCTGGAGGCAGAAGACTGCTTTTCTCTCTGCCTTCCTCTCTCTGTTTATTGCTCCCTCCCTCCCTCTTTCCCCCGTCCCTCCCGCAGTTCCTCCCCCCCCATTCCCTCCCTCCCTCCCTCCTTCCCTCTCTCCTTCCTTCTATCCCTCCATCCTTTCCAAGGTCCCTCGGTCCATCCGTTCTTTCCTCCCTCCATCGCTCCCTCCCTCTCTGTCTCCGTTCCTCTCCCCATCTCTGCCTGAGTTCCCTCCCGCGTAGAAAGGGCAGCACCCCGGTTTGCGCGGGGTCTCGGGTCTGCATTTAGCTATCAGGCGCTCCACGGTGATGCCGAGGAAGCTGGCGGGGCAAGGGTAGGCGAGTGACGGTGTGGTGGGGATGCAGGTTGGCGAGACGCGGAAAGAAGAGCAGACCTGGCACCTGCCCGGGCCAGTGTTTCCCGGGATGGAGGTCTCCGCCCGTCCCACTGAAGAAGGCGGTGGGGGGCAAGAGGGAAGTGATGAGAACTCCACCTAGGCTAGTTAGAAAACCTAGGCTACTGCCTGCTAACCCGCGCATGAGCAGTAGACAGTCCGCCTCCCGGTACCTGGAGGGGCCCTGGGATCCCCGGGATGCTCAGAAAAGAATGACAGCCCTCCTCTGAGTGGAGTCTCTCACGGGACCTGGAACTCAGGGATCCTAGGCAGGTCAGCTGGAAGGGAAGACACGCCTCTCCATACCAAGTCAGAGGTTCACTGTGAAAGAGAGGCCGCCGCCCTGCCCCTACCCAGCCCCAACCCCGCGTCCTAAAGCTCCTCCAGCACAGCCCGCTGTTCTTCCTGGCTGAGGAGTGCTTCCAGCGGAGCGGGCTCTTCCACGTCCTTCAGCTCCCCCAGTGGCGCCGGATCTAGGAAAAGTTGTGCCTTTTGCTGGAACTCTCGGGTTTACTGGCTGGGGGTTTACTGGCTGGGGGTGAGTGTAGATGAGCGCCCTGGCTCATGGAGCGGTTGGGAGGCGCCTGGATGGCTTGCATATGTGCTTGACCCGGAGGCCTCTGAGGTCGCGAGCTTCGGAAGTGGAGGTGCCCCGTCTTCGGTTTCCCACGCCGCCCTGGCGACCTGGGGCTCCAGCCCCACCACGGACTCTGGTGGGATGTGGGTGGCGCAAACATACTTTGCCCCTGTGACTCAGCTTGAGGGTACCCAAGCTGTCCCACTGAGCATGCACCCAGCAGGCCGCCGTGCTGCGGGTCCTGGTCCTCCTGGCATTTTCGGGGTGCGGAGGCCACCGAGGAGTCTGAGGGTGGGACAGTCCTACTTCTAGAGGGGCCAGGGCAGCAAACACAAAATCCCCGCGTGCCGGGGCACGTTGAGAGATTCCTTCTGCCTGTGCAGCCTGGCTAGGCTGGAGCGGTGGGACGGCCCTTGCTCCCTGGCTCACGAAAGCCCCCTGTGGGAGAGCCCCAGGCGTGCAGGGTGTGTGGGGTGCGGCAAGCCCCGTTCCCCATGCCCCGGTGTGGGTGAACTCGATTGAGGAGGGAGGAGGATGACACCCGCCGGGGGTGTTAATTAGTAAGCACAGTGGCCTCAAAGAGCTCAAATGAAAGGAAGAATTGCACGTCTCTCACTTGAAGTCCAGAGCTAGAAATGATTAAGCTTAGTGAAGATGTAAAATTTTCATTGCTAGAGAGATGTCCACACTTGGCTTCAAAACTTCAAAGGATGGGCTGACTCTCTTTGAGGACCACTGCTGTTGGTGACTTTAAGTTACAGCCAGTGCTCATTGACCACTCTGAAAATCTCAGGGCCGTTAGGAATTATGCAAAATCTATTCTTTCTGTGCTCTAGAAATGGAACATTACAGTCTGAGTGACAACACATCTGTTAAGAGCATGGTTTACTGAATATTTTAATCCCACTATTGAGACCTACTGCTCAGAAAAAAAAAAAAAAAAAAAAAAAAAAAAAAAAAAAAACATTCCTTTAAAGGGATTGCTGCTTGGCCAGGCACAATGGCTCACACCTGTAATCCCTGCACTTTGGGAGGCCGAGGTGGGTGGATCACCTGAGGTCAGGAGTTCAAGACCAGCCTGGTGAAAATGATGAAACGCTGTCTCTAATAAAAATACAAAAAAATTAACCAGGCATAGTGGTGGTATCTGTAATTTCAGCTACTTGGGAGGCTGACACAGAAGAACGGCTTGAACCCTGGAAGCGGAGGTTGCGGTGAGCCGAGACCATGCTACTGCCCTCCAGCCTGGGCAACAAGAGGGAAACTACATAAAGGCCAAAAAAAAAAAAAAAAGGAAAGAAAAGAAAAAAAGAAAAATATTGCTGCTTATTGACAATTCACCTAGCTACCCAAAAGCTTAGATGGAGATGTACTTGGAAATTAATATTATTTTCATGGCTGCTAATACAATATCTATCCTTCAGCCTGTGGATCAAGGAGTGGTTTTGACTTTCAAGTGTTTTTATTAAATAATAAATGCATTTTGTAAAGGTATAGCTGTCATAGATAGTAATTTCTTTGATGAATATGGATAAACTGAATTGAAAACCTTTTGGAAAGGTTTCACCATTAATCCTTTCATGATATTTCAACCTCTTCCCGTGAATCATAAATGTTCTTAATAGCAAATGCCATTAAGGACATTTGTGATTGATGGGAGGAGGTTGAAATATCAACATTAACAGGAGTTCGGAAGAAGTTGATTCCAGCCCTCATGGAAGACTTTGAAGGCTCAGGATGTCAGTGGAGGAAGTCCCTACAGATGTGGTAGAAATCGCAAGACAACCAGAATTAGAATTAGGGCCTTTAGATGAGATTAAATTGCTGTAAACTCATGATGAAACTTGAGCATCTGGGGAGTTGCTTCTTATGGATGAGCAAAGAAAATATTTTCTTGAGATGGAATCTACTCCAGGTGGAGATGCTACGAACATTGTTGAAATAACAACAAAGTGTTTAGAATATTCCATAAACCTAGTTGATAAAGCAGCAGCAGGGTTTGAGAGGGTTTACTCCAATTTTGAAAGAAGTTCTACTGTGAATAAAATGCTATCAAACAGCATCACATGCTACAGGGAAATATTTTGTGAAAGGAACAAACTTCGTTGTTTTAAGAAATTGACACAAGCACCCAACCTTCAGCAGCCCCCACACTGATCAGTCAGCAGCCATCAACATAGAGGCAAGACCCTCACTGTAAGAGAAAAGAAAGAGAGATCAGACTATTACTGTGTCTATACAGAAAGGAAAGACGTAAGAGGCTCCATTTTGAAAAAGACTTGTACTTTAAACAATTGCTTTGCTGAGATGTTGTTAATTTGTAGCTTTGCCCCAGCCACTTTGCCCCAGCCACTTTGACTCAACCTGGAGCTCACAAAAACATGTGTTGTATGAAATCAAGGTTTAAGGGATCTAGGGCTGTGCAGGATGTGCCTTGTTAACAAAATATTTACAAGCAGTATACTTGGTAAAAGTCATCGCCATTCTCTAGTCTCAATAAACGAGGGGCACAATGCACTGCAGAAAGCCGCAGGGACCTCTGCTCTTGAAAGCGGGATATTGTCCAAGGTTTCTCCCCATGTGATAGTCTGAAATATGGCCTCATGGGATGAGAAAGACCTGACTGTCCCCCAGCCCGACACCCGGTAAGGGTCTGTGCTGAGGTGGATTAGTAAAAGAGGAAAGCCTCTTGCAGTTGAGATAGAGGAAGGCCACTGTCTCCTGGCTGTCCCTGGGAACTGAATGTCTCAGTATAAAACCTGATTGTACATTTGTTCAATTCTGAGATAAGAGAAAAACCGCCCTATGGTGGGAGGCGAGACATGTTTGCAGTAATGCTGCTTTGTTATTCTTTACTCCACTGAGATGTTTGGGTGGAGAGAAACATAAATCTGGCTTATGTGCACGTCCACTCATAGTACCTTCCCTTGAACTTAATTATGACATAGATTTTTTTGCTCACATGTTTTTTGCTGACCTTCTCCTTATTATCACACTACTCTCCTACTACATTCCTTTTTGCTGAAATAATGAAAATAATAAGCAATAAAAACTGAGGGAACTCAGAGGCCGGTGCCTGTGCAGGTCATTGGTATGCTGAGCGCCGGTCCCCTGGGCCTACTGTTGTTTCTTTATACTTTGTCTCTGTGTCTTACTTCTTTTCTCAGTCTCTTGTCCCACCTGACTAGAAATACCCACAAGTCTGGAGGGGTGAGCCACCACTTCACTCACCAGCAAAAAGATTATGACTTGGTAAGGCTCAGATATTCATTAGTATTTTTCAGCAATGAGGTATTTTAAGTTAAGGTATGTACATAGTTTTGTAGACATAATGCAATTACTAATTAATTAATTAATTAATAATTATTAAATACTCATTAGACTACAACATAGTTTAAGCATAACTTTTATAAGCACTGGGAAACAAAGTGTTTATGCGACTAACTTGTTTGTAACATTTACCTTCTTGTGGTTGTCTGGAACCAAACCCACACTATCTCTGAGTATGCTTGTAGGTTTTTCATTGTTCTTTGTTTTGAGATAGAATTTCGCTCTGTCACCCAGTCCAGAGTGCAGTGACATGATTATAGCTCACTGCAGCCTCAAACTGCTGGGTCAAGTGATTGTTCTACCACAGCTTCCTTAGTAGCTGGGACTACAGGCATGCAGCACTATGTCTGGCTTTTTTTTTTTTTTTTTTTTTTTTTTTTTTTGAGACGGAGTCTCGCTCTTTCACCCAGGCCAGAGTGCAGTGGTGCTATCTCGGCTCACTGCAAGCTCCGCCTCCCTGGTTCATGCCATTCTCCTGCCTCAGCTTCCCGAGTAGCTGGGGCTACAGGCGCCCAAACCAGGCCTGGCTAATTTTTTTGTATTTTTAGTAGAGACGGGGTTTCACCGTGTTAGCCAGGATGGTCTCGATCTCCTGACCTCGTGATCCGCCCGCCTCGGCCTCCTAAAGTGCTGGGATGACAGGCGTGAGCCACCTCACTCGGCCTGCCTTTTCTTTCTAGTGGCACAAGCCCCATGGAGTGTGGTGCGTCTGATCTCCGATGCTTTTGAACAGTGTAGAAAGTATTGCTGTCTGAATTTAATTTTTTACTACATGTATGGTCTCGATCGACCACAAGAAGATCAATAAGCCCTTCTCCTTATTCTACTTCCCTTTCTAGCAATGGAGAACTTTGATTGGATTTTTCCTGCCTACAGACAGGAATGAGTCTGCTGTTTTCTTTTTTAAACCCGAGGGGACTGGGCCTGAGGGCCTTGAGCGCGGCCACCCTCCCCCAACCCCCAACTGGTGATTGTGGTGGTGGTGGTTTTGTGTTCCAGCTTCTGTTCTGTTGTTGTTGTTGCTGCTGGTGGTGCTGTCGTCATTGTTTTGGTATTTTACAGACTCAGGGGGTGTACGTGCTTGTTTGTTAGAAAGGCCTACTGCTGCCTCCAGTTGTAGAAGTGGACCTCCAGTGTATCCGATACCCAAGTGGCGAACATTGTCTCTGACGGGCGATTTATTCATCCCTCGTCCCCCTCTTACCCTCCTCCTCCCTTTTGGAGTGTCTGCTATTTCCATCTTGATGACCGTGTGCGTACCCACTGTTTACCTCCCACTTGTAAGCAGAAGACAGTTCACTGGGTACATACTTGCTTCCAGCTCTATCCATATTGTGGGAAAAGACGTGAAATCGCTCTTTTTTGTGCCTGCACCATTGGAGAATTTTAACTTTCTTGGTGGTTGTTTTCCTTTTTCCTTTTCTTTTCTTTTCTTTTTTTTTTATTTCTTTTCTTTTCTTTCTTCCTCCTCCTCCTCCTTCTTTTTTTCATTGTTTTCAGCTGGGCTCTCCTACTTGTGTTGCTCAGTTGCTCGGGCTTGTCTCAAACTCCTGGCCTTGACACTTCTCCCGTCACATCCACCGTCTAGTTGTTGAAATGAGCATCTCTTTTAAAATTGAAAAGATGAAAAAAATAAAGAGAAAGACAAAAAGCATGGGGTGAACGTTTCTCTTGCCGCCTCCCAGGGTGTACCTTGGACCCCATAGGAGGGAGGGAGCTTGACTGGGTGGGTTTTTGGTGCTAAATCCTCCCGAGGGCCTCCTTCCCTCTTCCCCTTGTCCCTGCTTCTCCCCCAGCCAAGGCTCCCACCACCGCGATGGGATTTTCCATGGGAGAGGTATGGGAGAGGACAGACGTGGCTTCCAGATCTATATCCTGCCAGACGTCTCTGGCTCAGCATCCCCCACCAGCTGCCTGCCACCTTCCAGGGAGCTCTGAGGCCGATGCCCCTCCCCCCTTCACATCCCGCCGCCCTCCTCCAGCTGGCCTTTGCCCGGCGACCCCAAGGGAAGGACGTTGATGCTGCTTTGGAATCCTGCAACGAAGACTTCCACCAGATGCCCCGGGTGGGCCGGATGGGATGGACTGGATCACCCCGGACCGTGCTGTTCTTGGGGGTGGGTTGACGTACAGGGTGGACTGGCAGCCCCATCATTGTAAAGGGTGCGCAGGTATGGAAATGTCACATAGGATGCCCTCCTTTCCCTCAGCCTGCCTTCAGCTTCCTCAGGCATGAAGACAACTTCCCATCAGAACCTCTTTTCTTCCCTTTCTCCACCACACAGACGAGACCCATGAGAGGGAGAAACAGCTCAATAGATACTGCTGACCTTCATTTGTGGAATCCTCAGTCATCTACAGACAGAGAGGTGACTAGACAGGGACCCAAATCAAACACCATTTCGGGGTCCTCATGGTGGGATTGCTCTTTCTCTCTCTCTCTCTCTCACACACACACACACACACACACACACACACAATTTCCACATCTAGTTCACAAACCACACTAATTTACACTTTTCACATTATGCAGTCTGAGTAAAACCCACCCCACCCTCCACCCAGCTGCTGACGAAACCCCTTCTCTACAACTTATTAAAAAGATTATCTGGACCGGGCACAGTGGCTCACGCCTGTCAATCCAGCACTTTGGGAGGCCAAGGCGGGTGGGTCACTTGAGGCCAGGAGTTCAAGACCAGACTGGCCAACATGGCGAAACCCCATTTCTATGAAAAATAGAACAATTATCCAGGCCTGGTGGCATAGGTTTGTAATCACAACTACTCAGAAGACAGAGGCGGGTGAGTTGCTTGAACCAGGGAGGCCGAGGTTGCAGTGAGCTGAGATCGTGCCATGGCAATTATTGAGATAAAGTGAGACTCTGTCTCAATAATAATCATAATATTGTTATAAGATGAGTTGTGCGTGCTGATACCCGACTGTAGTCGCAGCTACTCGGGAGGCTGAGACAAGGAGAAGATCACTTGAGGCCCCACAGGTCGAGGCTTCAGTCAGCTGTATCCTGGGTAGTCACTAGTCAAAGAGATATGCCCCTCCCCGTTTTCTTTTCTTTTCTTTTCTTCTTTTCTTTTCTCTCTTCTTTTTTCTTCTCTCTTCTTCCTTCCTTTCTTTCTTCTTTCTTTCTCTTGCTCTCTCTCTTTCTTTCTCTCTTTCTTTCTCTTCTTTCTTTCTTTCTTTCCCTTTCTTTCTTTCTCTTTCTTTCTTTCTTTCTTTCTTTCTTTCTTTCTTTCTTTTCTTTCCTGCCTGACTGACTTCCTGCCTTTCTTATTTTCTCCCTTCATCTCTTCCTCCCTTCCTTCTTTCCTCCCGCCTCGGCCTCCCAAAGTGCTGGGATTACTGGCCTGAGGCACCATGCCTGCTTGGCCTAAAGAGAGACCCTTTGAAAGTAAGACACAGACAGCGCCTTCTAGTGATCTGATTGATTGATTGACTGATTTAGAGACAGCGTCTCGCTCTGTCACCCTGGCAGTGGTGCCATGATAACTCACTCACTGCAGCGTGGAAGCTCCTGGATTCAAGTGATCCTTCCACCTCAGCCTCCAGAGTAGAGTACCTGGGACCACAGGCATGCGCCACTGTGCCCAGATCATTTTTATTTATTTATTTATTTTTTTTCCCGAGACAGAGTTTCGTTCTTGTTGCCCAGACTGGCGTGCAATGGTGTGATCTTGTCCACTGCAGCCTCTGCCTCCCGGGTTCAAGCGATTCTCCTGCGTCAGCCTCCAGAGTAGCTGGGATTGCAGGCATGCGCCAACACGTCTGGCTGATTTTGTATTGTTAGTAGAGATGGGGCTTCTCCATGTTGGTCAGGCTGGTCTCGAACTCCCGACCTCAGGTGATCTGCCCTCCTCGGCCTCCCAAAGTGCCGGGATGGCAGACGTGAGCCACTGCTCCTGGCCTTCATTTTTAAATGTTTTTCCACAGACAGGGTCTCATCATTTTGTTGCAACCCTCCTGACCCAGCGTCTCAAAGTGCTGGCGTGACAGGCGTGAGCCACTGTGCCTGGACTCCGGGGAATGATTCACGACCATGATCGCTGTACTAATTCTTTCTTTCTTCTTTCTTTCTTTCTTTCATTGATGAATTTTTTTATTATTGATTGATTGATTGATTGATTTTGAGACGGAGTCTCGCTCTGGTTGAGGCGAGGCGAGGCGAGGCGAGGCGAGGCCAGGTGCATCGCTTTGGAAGACGCAGCACCGCCTTCTAAAGCCCCATTCAAATGCACAACCCAGAGGCTGGCTGCGGCTGAGGATTAGGGGGTGTGGGTGGGGCTGGAAACTCGGTCCCCTATTGTTGAAAGCTCAGCCAAGACATCCCCCGACCCCCATCGCTTGATCACCCTTTGAGATCCCCTGACTCCACCGCCTTGGAGGCTGACCTCTTACTTTAATTTGTCTTTCTTCCTTTCCTGCGTTTGAGGAGGGGATGCAGGAATGAGGGTGTGTATGGGGAGGTGGTGTGGGGTGGGGACGGAGGGGAGCGTCCTAAGGGCCGATTTAGTGTCATGCCTCTTTCACTGCCACCGCCGAAGATGAAAGCAACAATCAGCTAAATACCGCGTGTTCTCATCCATAAGTGGGAACTTATAGATGACAGTTCTGCATGGGCAGAACGAGGAGGACCAGAGAAGCGGGAGCCTACTTGAGGGAGGAGGGGTGGAAGGAAAGACAGCTTCAGGAAAAAACAAAACATGAAAACTGTCGAGTACTGCGCTGAGTATCTGGCTGATGAAATCATCTGCACACTGAACACCCCCCCGTCAGAAGTTTACCTATGTAACAATCTTACACATTTATGTTTGAACAAGAAATGAAAGTTAGGGGAGAAAGAGAGAGAGAGGGAGAGAGAGAGAGAGGGAGAGAGGGAAAGAGAGAGAGAGAGAGAGAGAAGTGAAACGAAACAGCACCTCCTGTACCTGAGTCAGGGGGTTTCCGGCCTTTTGGGGGAACATTCAGCGACAATGCAGTATTTGGGCCTGTTCTTTTTTTTTTCTTCTTTTCTTTTTTTTTGGACTGAGTCTCTCTCGCTCTGTCACCCAGCCTGCATTGAAGTGGCGCTCTCTCGGCTCACTGAAACCTCTTCTTCCCGGGTTCCAGTGATTCTTCTTCGGTAGCTGGGATTACAGGCGCGCACCACGACAGCCGGCTAATTTTTCTATTTTTAGTAGAGACGGGGTTGCTCCATGTTGGCCACGTTGGTATTGAACTCCTGACCTCAAGTGATCCACCTTCCTGGGCCTCCCAAAGTTCTGGGACGACAGGCCTGAGCCGCCGGGATTTCAGTCTTTAAAAGCAGGAGCCATGACACTTTTCGCTGCGGCCCTTACACTCAGAATGACGTGTCGTCTCTGCCATAGGTTAACTCCTTGGGTCCCCTACGCCATTGTACTCTAGCCTGGGCAGCAAGAGCAAAACTCCGTCCCCCCACCTTCCCGTGCAAATAAATAAATAAATAAATAAACAAACAAACAAATAAATAAAATCTCTACACATGACCTATAAGTGTGCATTCCCATGAGTGATTTCTAAGAAATGGCACTGTACACTGAACGCAGTGGCCCACGTCTGTCATCCCAGCACTTTGGGAGGCCAAGGTGGGTGGTTCACGAGGTCAGGAATTCAAGACCAGCCTAGCCAACATGGTGAAACCCCTTCTCTACTGAAAATACGAAACTGAGTCAGGCGCAGTGGGGCAGGCACGTGTAATCCCAGCTACTCGGGAGGTTGAGGCGGGAGAATCGCTTGAACCTCGCAGGTGGAGGTTTCAGTGACCCAGGATGTTGCCACTGCACTACAGCCTTGGCGACAGAGTGAGACTTGGTCTCCAAATAAATAAATAAATAAATAAATGAAAGAAAGAAAAGAAAAGAAAAGAAAAGAAAAGAAAAGAAAAGAAAAGAAGAGAAAAGAAAACCAGAAAAGAAAGAAAATGAAAGAAAAGTCACTGTATCGCTACTGGGCTAGGACCTTCCCTCTTTCTCTCTGTTTCTCTTTGTCTCTCTCTGTCCATCTCTGTCTTTCTCTATCTGTCTCTTTGTCTGTCTGTCTGTCTCTTTCTTTCTCTCTGTCTCTGTCTCTCTCTCTCTGTCTGTCTCACAGTGTCTGTCTTCTCTCTTTCTCTGCCTGTCTGTCTCTCTCTCTCTCCCTCCCTTTCTGTTTCTGTCTCTCTCTGTGTCTCTCTCTTTCTGTCTGTTTCTCTCTGTCTCTCTCCGTCTCTGTTTTTCTCTGTCTCTCTGTCTGTCTCTGTATTTCTTTTTCTGAGTCTCTCTGTCTATCTCTCTCACTCTCTCTCTCTGTCTCTCTCTCTGTGCCTATCTTCTGTCTTATTCTCTTTCTCTACCTATCTGTCTCTCTCTCTGTCTGTCCCTCTCCCTCCCTTTCTGTCTCTCTCTCTCTCATTCTCTCTCTGTCTCTCTCTCTTTCTGTCTATTTCTCTCTGTATCTCTCTCTCCATCTCTGTCTCTTTCTCTCTGTCTCTGTCCGTCTCTCTCTGCCTGTCTCTCTCACTGTGTCTGTCTTCTGCCTTATTCTCTTCCTCTGCCTGTCTCTCTCTCCCTCCCTACCTTTCTGTTTCTCTCTCTCTCTGTCTCTCTCTCTGTCTGTTTCTCTCTGTCTGTCTCTGTCTGTCTCTTCCTCTGTCTGTCTCTCTCTTTCTTTTTTTTTTTTTTCAAGACGGAGTCTGTGTCGCCCAGGCTGGAGTGCAGTGGCGCCATCTTGGCTCACTGCAAGCTTCTCCACCCAGGTTCACGCCATTCTCCTGCCTCAGCCTCCCGAGTAGCTGGGACTATACGCGCCCGCCACCAAGCCCGGCTAATTTTTTGTATTTTTAGTACAGACGGGATTTCACCGTGTTAGCCAGGATGGTCTCGATCTCCTGACCTTGTGATCCGCCCGCCTTGGCCTCCCAAAGTGCTGGGATGACAGGAGTGAGCCACCGCGCCTGGACTGTCTCTCTCTTTCTTTCTCTCTCTCTCTTTCTCTGCCTCTCTGTCGGTTTCTCTCTCTGTCTGTCTCTGTCTCTCCGTGTCTGTTTCTCTCCCTCTGTCTCTTTCGCTCTCTCTCTCTCTGTCTCTCTCTCTTGCTGTTTCTGTCTGTCTCTGTCTGTCTCTTTCTCTGTCTGTCTCTCTCTTTCTTTCTCTCTGTCTCTGTCTCCCTCTGCCTGTGTCTCTCACTGTGTCTGTCTTCTGTCTTACTCTCCTTCTCTGCCTGTCTGTTTGTCTCTCTCTCCCCCTCTCTTTGTTTCTCTCTCCCTCTCTATCTCTCACTCTCTCCATCTATCTCTCTGTCTGTTTCTCTCTGTCTGTCTCCGTCTTTCTCTGTCTCTCTGTCTTTCTGTCTCTCTGTCACTCTCCCTCCCTGTCTGTCTGTTTCTCTCTCTTTCTCTGTCTCTGTCTCTCTCTTTCTCTTTCTCTCTGTCCATCTCTGTCTCTCTTCCTCTGTCTCTCTTTCTCTGCTTGTCTCTCTCACTGTGTCTGTCTTCTGTCTTACTCTCTTTATCTGCCTGTCTGTCTGTCTGTCTCTCTCCCTCCCTTTCTCTCTCTCTCTCCATCTCTCTCTCTTTCTGTTTCTCTGTGTCTCTCTCTGTCTGTCTCTGTGTGTCTGTCTGTTCTCTCTCTTTCTCTGTCTCTCTCTTTCTGTTTGTTTCTATCTGTCTCTCTCTCTCTCTGTCTCTCTCCCTCCCTGTCTGTCTGTTTCTCTCTGTCTCTCTCTGTCCATCTCTGTCTTTCTATGTCTGTCTCTCTGTCAGTCTGTCAGAGCCCCTTTGCCGGGGAGGGCCCTGCCCCTTCCACGAAAGTGAGAAGCGCCTGCTTAGAGAGGCCGAGAGGTATCTAGACAGACGGTCCTTGCTAGGCTTCGCCACTCGGTGTATGATTTCGAGGGGTCGAGGCCGGGTCCCCACTTGGATGGAAGGGGCATTTTCAAACGTTTCTCCCTGTCATGTGTGGCGTCCCTACTTCTCGTATTTCCCTGATAAGCTCCTCGACTTAAAAATACATGGTTGAGGCCGGGCGCGGTGGCTCACGTCTGTCAGCCCAGCAGTTTGGGAGGCAGAGACGGGTGGATCACCTGAGGTTGGGAGTTCGAGACCAGCCTTGCCAACAGGGCGAAACCCCGTCTCTACTAAAAATACTAAATTGAGTCAGGTGCGGTGGGGCAGGTGCCTGTAATGCCAGCTACTCGGGAGGCTGAGGCAGGAGAATCGCTTGAACCTGGGAGGCGGAGCATGCAGGGAGCCGAGATCGCGCCACTACACTACAGCCCGGGCTGTAGATTGAGACTGTGTCTCTAAATAAATAAATAAATAAATGCATTCTTTTCCCTGCTGACTGACACTTGCAGGCATCGGTTGTCTTTGGGCATCACCTAGCGGCCACTGTTATTGAAAGTCGAGGTGACATGGAGAGAGGTCTGGCCGACTTCACCGAGCCTGGGGCAAACGGTTTCTCTCTCTCCCTTCTGGAGACCCCTCCCTCTCTCCCTCGTTGCCTAGGGAACCTCCGCCCTGGCGGGGGCCCTATTGTTCTTTGATCAGCGCTTTAGTTTTCTTTCTGTTTTGGTTTCTTTCATGCGCATAGACTCTTCTACTTGGGTTTTAGGAGGGGTCAGTTTAAATTTCAAGTCCCGCCCCGGCTCCCCCCACTACCCACGTCCCTTTATCTTCATTTAGTGAGACAGTTAGGTGGGTTCCTCCCAAATCCCCCAACCCCGCCTGCCAACACCCTGCTTGGAAACCTTCCGGAGCCACCCCGGTGTGCCTCCGTCTTCTCTCCCCTTCCCCCACCGCTTGCCGGCTATCTCATTCTTGCCAGGCTGACATTTGCATCGGTGGGCTTCAGGCCTCACTCAGTGGCCACCATTTTTGAAGATGGGGGTGGCCCGGTCCTACTTCCCCAGAGGCAGCTTGGGCCGATGGCATAGCCCTTGACCCGCGTGGGCAAGCGGGCGGGCCTGCAGTTGTGGGGTTTTTGCCCCGCTTCCCTCCTCAGGCCTCCCTCCCTAGGAAAGCTTCACCCCGGCTGGGTCTCTATCACCTTTTATCATGATGTTTTAGTTTCTCCGCCCTCAGTCCAGCATAGTTTCACAGTGGGAATGACGTCACAGCTCTAGTCTGGGCCTTCTTAGTATTAGCCCAAAATAGAAATGCTTTCTGAAAACTAATACTTTGCTCACTTAAGATTTCCAGGGACAGTGCCTTGGCCTGTGTTTGTTGGCTTGTTTTGTTTTGTTCGTGTTTTTCCTTTTTCTTATGTATTTCTTTTTAGATGAAGTAGAAATCCCCAGTTTTCAGGAAGACGTATATTTTCCCCAAGACATGTTAGCTGCGGTTTTCTCCTGTTGTTAACTAACGATTTTGTGAATCTCTGAACGTATAGTGAGAGCCGGTTGATGTTTACTAGACTTCAGAACATCTTATGTTCTAGAAATCCGTAAGCGATTGCTGCTGCTGCTCTTGCTGCTGCTGCTGCTCTTGCTGCTGTTGTAGTTGTTTTCAAAGCACACCCCGGCCACCGTTTATGGGATCAAAAGCGTTATAAAATATGTGTAATTATTTCCTGAGCATGCCCTTCCTCCTCCTCTCTCTGTCTCTCTCTCTCTCTTTATCTGTCTTCTATCTTTCTCTGTCTCTCTCTCTTTGCCTATTTCTCTCTCTCTCTCTGCCTGTCTCTCTCACTGTGTCTGTCTTCTCTCTTACTCCCTTTCTCTGTCTGTCTGTCTCTCTCTCTCTCCCTGTCTGTCTGTCTGTTTCTCTCTGTCTCTGTCTCTTTCTCTGTCTCTCTCTCTTTCTGTTTCTCTCTGTCCATCTCTGTCTTTCTCTGTCTCTCTGTCTGTCTCTTTCTTTCTCTGTCTCTCTGTCTCTGTGTGTCTCTCTCTCTGCCTGTCTCTCTCACTGTGTCTGTCTTCTGTCTTACTCTTTTTCTGCCGGTCTGTCTCTCTCTCTCTTTCTCTCTCTCTCTGTCTCTCTCTATTTGTTTCTCTCTGTCTCTCTCTGTCCATCTCTGTCTTTCTCTGTCTGTCTCTTTGTCTGTCTGTCTGTATCTCTCTTTCTCTGTCTCGCTGTCTCTGTCTCTCTCTCTGCCTGTCTGTCTGTAGGTCTCTCTCTCTCTCCCTGTCTGTCTGTTTTTTTCTCTCTCTCTCTTTGCCTGTCTGTTTCTCTGTCTCTGTCTCTCTGTCTGTCTCTCTCCGCCTGTCTCTCTCTGTGTCTGTCTTCTGTCTTACTGTCTTTCTCTGCCTGTCTGTCTGTCTGTCTCTCTCTCTCCTTGCCTGTTTCTCTCTCTCTCTGTCTCTGTTTCTCTCTGTCTCCCTCTGTCTGTCTCTGTCTTTCTCTCTCTGTCTCTTTCTCTCTGTCTGTCTCTCTCTTTCTTTCTCTCTGTCTGTCCATCTGTCTCTGTCTCTGTGTGTGTGTGTGTTTCTGCCTTCTGTCTTACTCTCTTTCTCTGACTGTCTACCTGCCTGTCTGTCTGTCTCTCTCTGTATGTCTCTCTCTCTTTCTGTCTCTGTCTCTTTCTGTTTCTTTCTGTCTCTGTCCATCTCTGTCTTTCTCTGTCTGTGTCTTTATCTGTCTGTCTCTCTCTTTCTGTCTTTCTCTCTTTATGTATCTTTGTGTCTCTCTGTCTGTCTCTCTCTGTCTCTGTCTTTGTCTCTGTATCTCTCTCTCTCGCCCGCTCTCTGGCTCTCGCTATCTCCCGCCCTCTCTTTCTTTGCAAAATAAGTTCAAGTACATCTAATCTAATCCATTACCACGACCTGAATTCTTAACATGAGACATCCCAGATTTGATCTCCCTACAGAATGCTGTACAGAACTGGCGAGTTGATTTCTGGACTTGGATACCTCATAGATACTACATATTAATAAAGATCCAACCATAAAATCTGGGGTTGCGTCTCCCTCGACTGTCTCAAAAAATCATACCTCTGTTCACCTAGGATGCTGGGAGGGTTTTCTTAATGTGCATCTGCTCGTGTTCTACATGAACTGTGACCGAGCCCTGTCTGTTCTGTCTCAAATATGTATCTTCAAACACGTCTCTCCATTTCCACAACTACCCATGGCCCCTTGTGGAACCACTGGCTCTTTGAAAAAAAAATCCCAGAAGTGGCTTTGACTTTTTGGCTAGGAGGCGTAAACCTGCTGAGAACTTTCCTGCCCAGGATTCTGTGTGAACAAAAGTGCCTCTGCTGGGAGCTGGGATCCTCAGGACCATGCTTGCTATCGTTGGATGAGTCTCTGGAAGGACACATGGGACTCCGCAAAGCTGACCTGTCCCACCGAGGTCAAATGGATACCTCTGCATTGGCCCGAGGCCTCCAATTTACATCGCCGTCACCAACCGTCACCATCAGCATCCTTGTGAGCCTGCCCAAGGCCCCGACTCCGGGGAGACTCTTGGGAGCCTGGCCTTCGTAGGCTAAAGTAGAAAGGGATTGTGACTTCCACCCACAAGGTCCCCACTGAACTGTGAAGATGTGGAGCGTAGGTCAGAGAGGGGACCAGGAGGTAAGATGTCCTGACAGGCGATGAGTTAACTAGGCTCTGGCCACCCCACTCACGTCCCACGTCCCGGGAACCCGCGGAACACTGCCGCTTTATCCCCTCCTCTGTCCACAGCCGTCCCCACCCCAGCCCGCAACCCACGCATACACACTGGAGGTTACAAAACCACAGGGCGTGAATAGAGCCTGATGGAGCAAGAGCTCATTTCATGAGGCGGGATGGGTGGGGTGGGGTGGGGG